>NC_000003.12:170826786-170978301 GCF_000001405.40 Homo sapiens
TGCTTGGCATTTAAAAGGTTTCAAAGACAGGTCAGTACTCTACCTGTGTAGCACCTTCATCTCTATCTAGCCTACTTTCTCACAGTCTGGAAATGAGATCAGCCCTTGTGTTCCTATCCTGCCCCTCTTTGTGAGCTTATGAGTAACCCAAAAGGACACCAAAGGGAGAAGGACGTTAACATTTACTGAACCTGCACTGAATGCCAGGCACTGTGCTGTGAAATAGTTACACTTACCTCCATTTTATAGGTGAGAACAGTGAGGCTGGAGATATTAAGCTAGTAAATGGTAGAACTGGGATTTTGTGACATCAGAGACCTCTTACAATGCAACCCGCTTAAATTATCTAATGTGTTACCTTCCTGAGTAAAATAGCCTTTGTCCTAAGGAAGAAGTTGGGCACCTTAGCAGAACTATTTTTCAATTCACACCACAGACATGGGTATCTAGCTTCTGGGCCTGCTCATTGCAGGCTTATTGGGCTGTTGATTCAGGCTATTTTTATGATATATACATGACATGCCATATAGTAATAATATATATGATAGTGATATAATAGAGAATAATACTATGACAAATATGATATATCATAAAAATAGGAGACACACTTTAATTCTACAGTCTGGAAAGGTAGAATTCAATGAGGGCAACTTACCTAAAATTATGGAAAAGCAAACCTCAAAAAATAAAGAAATTATTGATCCTGTGTCAGGTTGCTGTGCATTTGAATGCTGAAATTGCTCTGTAAGTATTTCAGAGGCAGGCAGGTGATTTTTAGTCTAAAAACCAACTGGTTAAGTTAAATCGGACTCTGTGGTTCTTTGAGAATACCAACACTGTTTAAATATTTCCTGTAATCCAGATGTTTAACTCCTTGCTCAAATCTCTTTGATCAAGGTGAATCCACCTAGGAACATTACAAAATGCAGCCTTTCTTATGACGTTTTTATTGAATATATTTTTTCATCATATCCTGAAGTCACCTCCTGGTGACTTGACTCTTAGTATAATAGCTCTCTTGTTTCAAGACAGATCATATGTACATTTAAATAACTTATACGAGTTTATAAAAATTGCTTAAATGATCCAACTCTCTTCTCTAGCATTAAGAGGTACCACTATTCTCCAGCTTTTGGAACCAATTTTGTGTTTAATGGTTAAAGAACTATTATAGCCTGTAAGGAACTCAGTGCTTTCTACAATTTTTATATTATTTTCACACTCACTTATCACCTCTCACTCCAAACCTCCACTCCTGGTCTCATTTCCATCCCCTCTACTTTTTGCATCACTGCTCTTATCAGCTGCTATCCTCTTCACTACCACTTTGTTCCCATTACAGACACACTACTTTCTTTCTCATTCTCCAGGACATTTCTGTTTTGTATAATAAACTTTTACTGAATGTTTGGAGGCAACAAAGAAGAATCATAGTACAAATTTTAAAATAACTAAAAATTAAATATGCAACATCAGTGTTCTTGAATTTCCTTGGGCATCTTGATAATGCCTTCCTAGCTGGCTTTCTTGGCATCTGTTGAAATGGAATGGAGAGAATGAGTCTAAATAAAGCCATCACCACTACTCTAAGACCAATTTTGTGTTCCTTATCAATCCTAGAACCCATGTGACCCAGACTCACATGGAATTACAATGAAAGAGACAGTTCAGGAGTAAAAGTCACTTCAATCTCTGATTGTATCTGTTGAAGGCTATGAAAGACATTTAGTCCATAGTCTACTGAACCTTTCTTCTCTCTTCTCCTCCTGACCTTCTGCCGTGATTCCAGATCCTCTTACTCTCTACTCTACTCTCAATTCACCCCCAAGGCTCTTTGCAATGCCTAGCCTAAGCTGATTTTTAATCTATTTCCTTTTCTTTTAACATTAATTTACAGCAATTTAGCCTCTCAGGCTTCCTGTATTTTCTGTTTCGCCTAATTGGAGGTTTCAACATATTAGAAAAGAACCTGGGAGCTGACTGTTAAGCCAAAATCTTTCCCCAGTGAGAAAGGGAAGGGGAAGAGGAGAAGAAACAGAGGGAGGGAGGAGACATTTGAACACTGATCATTCCTGTCCCTATTATGCATTAATGGACTTCTCTGCTATAGTCCAGTAGACAAGCCGTCCTTAGGAGTTAGGAACATGGTAATGGCCTGTTAGGAAAGCAGTATCCAAACTGTCTCTATCTAGTGGTGGAAGTTTATAGAGCAGGAGTTCCCAAAGTGTGGTCCCTGGACCAGCAGCATCAGCATTGCCTAGGAACTTAGAAATGCAAACTGTCAGTTCCCTTTCCAGACCTACTGAATCAGACACTGGAGCTGGAGCCCAGCACTCTGTTTTAACAAACCCTCCGGATGATTTGGAAGCAGCTAAAGTTTGAGAAACACTACCCTGGACTTCTCCAGGCTAAGAAGCCCATTGAGCTGGATTTGGGCTTGGGATCTGCCTTTTTCTTCCTCTGTGACCTCTGTCACATCACTTAACCTCCCTGAGTCTGAGAGGAGATCTCACTGGAGGACTTTCTGCTGCAGAATCCCAGAGCTCCTCGTGTCAAAGGCTAGCCCCTGACAAGGTTCTCTTTTTTGATTTCTACCCTCAGCGACTCAACCTGCTTTTTCTCTCCCTGTGTCTTTGGGAAGCTGCCATCATTTGCTCTGTCCCCAAGTCTGGACACCATTTTAATAATAATAATAATAACAACAGCAACAACAGTTCCCATCTCTCTTGGTGATAGTTACTGGATACCCCTAAGAGCATGGTTTATATTCCTGAAGTTAGGGCTCACTAATGCCACCTTCCCTAGACACCCCCCAAATGAATTACTCAGTTTGTCCACTAATAAATGTATATTAGATGAACAGCTTACAGAATTAATTTTAGTTCTTCCCTCCAAATGGTCAAAATGATTGTTTGCGTGTGTAGATACAGCTTGAACAGACAGCTTGAACTTCTCCAGACTTTGGCTTCAAAGGCTCATTCCATTTCGTTGGGCTGGTATTAATCGTGCCTTTTTATTTTTATATTTCTGATGTGTTGACATTTTCAGGCCTTGCTGACCCTGGAGGGACTACCCCTCCCAAGGTTAGCTAATTACTAGAGAAAGCAGACAATTAGCTTGTGAATGCGCCTTTTACATACAAACCAACCAATCCAGAGCCCAAACCCACAAACACCTCCTTTATTGAACTCTCTCAGGATTCTTACACTCTGGGACCTGCCCTAATCACCCCAGGGCCAGCTACAAGACAGCTTGACACAGCTCCCGTACCCCAGAGCTCATTGAAAGTGCTCAAATTTGCCACGAACCTGCCTACTCAGCCTCGCCTGGTCCTTCCTGTGAAAACCACAATCGAGGCTCTTGCCTGTGTTTTCCTGCTTCCTCTGCCTCTTGAATGCTTCCCTATGTGGCCCTGTGCAACCTGCCACGCCTCCTGTTTCTAGGGATCTGTGAGCATGAAAACTTCTTCCTTCAGGACAGTTGTGTCCGTGTCTACGTTTCTGACTATACCTGGTTAACAACAAATCCTTTCTACCCTTAAAACAGGCACACACATTGAACTGGCAGTCCCAGGATCCACATAGTCAGCTTGCTCTTGGCCAATAGTGGGTTCAAATTCACTACTGGTATGCAAGCGCACTCTGAAAATCATCACTGTGGAACTGGGTAAAGCACTTTCCCATACAGAAATTGTTAGGTAAGTGGCTTACCTGTAAATAGAACAGTGCCCCAGCAAGGCCCACAATGTTTCTATTTTAAATACATCTCTCTTTACTCGTGTCACTTCCTAACCTCTCCTTTTTTTTTTTCCAGCATGCTCTTATTAATTATGTGTTAGAATCCTGAGCAGCAAGTTCTTTCATTTTAAGTCATTAAAAACTTGCTCTAGGAGTGCTGTGATTGGGAAGTAGAGCCTTTACACTTTACCCATTAGTGCCCACACAGAAGAATTTTGGTGGAATGGAGAATTGCTTCTGCCTGGCTTCTGATTTTGCTGGCTCAGGGCTTTTCAGGAGAGGGTGGCAATCAATCTTGATCAACATGGGACACATCCCTAGATGCTTCAATGAGCCAGAAGCCACAAAAGGAGAAGAAGGAGGTGGTTTGCCGGTTGTGGTGGCTCACGCCTGTAATCTCGCTACCTTTTTTAAAAAAATTATTTATGTATTTATTTTTGGGATGGAGTCTCGCTCTGTCACCCAGCTTGGAATGCAGGGGCACAATCTCGGCTCACTGCAACATCCACCTCTTGGGTTCAAGCAATTCTCCTGCCTCAGCCTCCTGAGTAGCTGGGACTACAGGTGTGCACCACCACACCCTGCCAATTTTTTTGTATTTTTAGTAGAGACGAGGTTTTGCCATGTGGGCCAGGCTGGTCTCAAACTCCTGATCTCAAGTGATCCGCCCACCTCAGCCTCCCAAAATGCTGGGATTACAGACATGAGCCACTGCACCCAGCCTAATCCTGGCACTTTGGGAGGCTGAGGAGGGAGGACCATTTGAGCCCAGGAGTTCAAGACCAGCCTGGGCAACATAGTGAGACTCTGTCTCTAATAAAGAAGAAGAAGAAAAAAGAAAGAGAAAGAGAAATAGGAAGGAGAAGAAGAAGGAGGAGGAGGAGGAAGAGGAGGAGGAGGATTCTAGAGAGCAGAGAGGTACTCTGGTACTGACCCTTCTGTGTGCTGGAAGGACGAAAGGCAAGAAGCAGAAAGCTATCTCCATGCCCTGGAAATGTGCTCAGCAGAAAGTATTTGGTTACCTAAACCAATGCTTCCTGAACGTTAATGTGCATATGAATGACCTGAAGCTTTTATTAAAATGTATATTTTAGACTCAGCGGGTCTGTGGTGGGCCTGAGTTTCTGCATTTCTAACAAGTGACCAGGTTATGCTGATCCTGCTGATGCACAGACCACATGTTGAGTAGCAAGGACCTAACTACTCCATTTGTGAGGTCCTTGGCTAAGAGGAGGAACTGTAATAACACAAGAGACTAATTAGCTGGGAGTAACAGTAAGCATTTCTGCTGAGTGTTATCATCAACCTCAACAGTGTAAGTTGTTAAAATATTATCTTAATTTGGAGTCTGTTTGTTTTCACGTTTTTCGGAAAACAAAATATTTTAAGTGGTATGTGTGTGTTATTGTTTTGTGCATGAGCATATGTTATATTTTCCCTTTCTTAGCCAAGTTTTTGCTTAAGTACAAAACTACTTCCTAGGGAGCATGACACGGGGGGATAAGCAATACTCCTCACCATGGCAGTGGTTCAGAGGCAGAGCACAGAGTTGAGAACCAGACAAGGCCATGAAAAGGCATGGAGGAATCTTTACCCATCAATGCTTCCCAGCCTGGGCCAAGCTGTCTTCCAAGATCTCATCTTGACCAGTCCTTCTCAGACTTGTTTCAGAGGCTGAGTGCTCAGAAATCACGATACTCCCTGCAAGACACAATGGGTAAAATGCTGGTATACGTATGTAATGATGATACAACTTCACTGACAGAAAATATGGCTCTAATAAGTGAATGTAACAAAATAACACCTACCTCTAAGTCCTTTTGGAAATGAAGCTGAGTTTCATTATTGGTAAAATGAAGGTAATAACCCCTATCTCACAGAGAGAGACCACTGATCCTTCAGTTCGAATCAAAGATATGCCAAAGATTTTTGCTTCTAGTGCTTGTGTAGCAATCACCGTAAGACAAATGGCACAGCAAGCAGGACTTCACTGTTACTGGCTGCCGTTTATTTAGCATCTATCATACACCAGATACTATGCTAAGGGCCTTACGAACCTCTCATTAAATGTGACAAGAACTCATTTAGGAAAACATTTTTCTCTATTCTAACAATGAGAAACGCTGAGATGGTGGTATCTTGCTAGCTCGCTAGAAATTTACCTTTTTTATCAAGAAATTAAGATGTAGCTTTTGACCAGACACATCCCCATAGCAGTATTTCTTAATCTTTTTTTGTGTGTGTGTCACAATCCCTCTGAAAATCCACCAAAGGCCATAAACCTTCCCAGAAAAATGCACATAAGCAAACACAGCACTTTGTATTCAACTTCAGTGGGCTCATGGGCCCCAAGAAAGGACACGGTGCTGCTGAGTGGAAGACGAGGAGGGCTTTAATAGTCTTCAGGCTGAACTTGAGCTGTCCTTTCAAGCACTGATCTGAAATGTTTTCCTTAGCCATTTTCCTGACTATTATATTTTTCAAATATTTATATTGATAAAAGATAAAACAAACCCTAAAATGTCAAAAATACTCTTTGGCAACAGGTAGCCTATAGAGTTTCCCCCCTTTTTTTTTAAACCATCAGTCATCAAAAAGACTTTCTATTCTGAATAGACAATACCAGTTCAGATTAGCAAACAACCCAGAGAATACTTGTTTCTCTTTCTTAGTATCTGAATGAAACAAGATACTTAACACAAAACAACATTGTTGCTCCCTCCTGGTTTCTTAACATAAGAAGAGGCTTGAGCTGTTGACAAAAAAATACAGAGGTGAGAAATATAGTTGGTTTCTATAACCCCCAAATATGAAGATAAAAAATGTGGGAGGTAGGAGGAAGGAAGAAAGGGAGGGAGGAAAGAGAAATAAGAAAGAAGCAACCAGATATTTACATTTAGACTAATTTGAAATGGACTTTTATCATACATCTTGTAGATCCACATGTGCTCTCTGGACCAACAAAGTGTGCTTGTTGGACCAGCAGCATCAATATCTCCTGGGAACTTACTAAAATGCAGATTCTCAGGTTCCACCCCAGGCCTTTTGTATCAGAAACTCTGGGGGCGAGACCTAGCAGTCTGGTTTCTTTTTTTCTTTTCCTAAATAAGTTTATTTCCTAAAGACTCAATGTTTTAGAGTAGTTTTAGGTTCATAGCAAAATTGAGAGGAAGGTACAGAGATTTCCTATATACCCATTGCCCCTACAAATGCATAGCCTCTCCCATTATCAACATCCCCCACCAGAGTGGTACATTTGTTACAATGGATGAACCTACATGAACAGATCATTATCACCCAAAGTCCATACATTACATTAAGGGCTCACTCTTGCTATTGTACATTCTATTGGTTTGGACAAATGTCTAATGACATGTATCCACCATTGTAGTATTATATAGAATAGTTTCACTGCTCTGAAATTCCTCTGTGCTCTGCCTACTTATCCCTCTCTCCCCTTTACCCTTAGCAACCACTGATCCTTTTACTGTCTCCATAGTTTGTCTTTTCTAGAATTTCCTATAGTCGTAACTATACAGACTGTAGCCGTTTCAGATTGGCTTCTTTCACTTAGTAATATGCACTTAAGTTTTCTCCAAGTCTTTTTATGGCTTAACATTAGGTTGGTGCAAAAGTAATTGTGGGTTTTGCCATTAACCATATAAATAATGTCAAACATCGCGATTACTTTTGCACCAACCTGATAGCTCATTTGAATGGAATGATATTCCACTGTCTGCATCTACTGCAGTTTATTTGTCCATTCACCTGCTGAAGGGCATCTTGGTTACTTCCAAAGTTTAGCAATTATGAAAAAAACTGCTATAAACATTCATATGCAGGTTTCTGTCTAGACATAAGTTTTTAACTCCTTTAGGTAAATACCAGGGAGCATGATTGCTAGATTGTATGGTAAGAGTACACTTAGTTTTGTAAAAATTTGGCAAATTGTCTTCCAAAGTGGCTGTACCATTTTGCATTGCCATCAGCAATAAATGAGAGTTTTTATTGCTCCACATCCTCACCAGCATTTGGTGTTCTGGATTTTGGCCATTCTCATAGATGTGTTATGTTCAGCAGTCTGTTTTAACAAACCCTCAAGGTGATTCTGGTGCACTAAACATTGAAAACCATGACTGTGGACAGATCTTCTCTCATAGAAGTAGCCCTCCCAGCTGGTCCTGATTCAATCTGCTGACCTTGTAATGAAACAGAATAAAGAGGAGGACAATGGGGAGGAAAGCAGTGTTTATTGAGCGACCACAACATGCCAGGCACTGTATCATTATAATTTCATTTTATTCTTCCATAGAAGCTAAGAAATTTTTACTCTTGTCCCCATTTTAAAGATTTTTTGAAATGAGATTCCAAGCCATAGTAATGTTTAAGCTTACAGACCTACTAAGTAGTGAGTTCACATTAGGGAATTTGAAAAGTACAAAAGTTATAAAGAAGAATATAGGAATTACCCACAACCCCATTCAAAACAACATTATTATTTAGTGTAAGTCCTCACAGTATTTTTTTTTTCCTGTGTAAAACTCCTTTGGATTTCAGGCTGCTCTGTGGTCTCTCATAGAATTTAGGCTCCAGAGTGGGTCCTTTGCTCTGAGATCTGAAGACCTAGGAACTAATGCCTCCACCTTCAGCTTTGTTCTAATCTCTCCTAAAAGCAAGTATCTAGATCCTTTTATTCTCCCTACATCCCTACATTTGATAATATACAGAAGCAAGAGCTTAGTAAATCAAACAAGTGAGCTGAAGTAGGTGCTGAAAGTTGACCTAAAACAAACTGGGAGCTAAGACTCTACTCCAAGACAGAACAGAAATGGACTTGGAGCCAGATATAGAACAAGTTATTTATGCTCAGTTCTCTAGGAAAAGGATGGAGGCTTGTTCTGAGATGTGTGCATCTTGTGCTGGGGGCTGGAGGGAGCTGCTGTTCCTGGAACACTCTGCAAGTGTCTGTTCTGGGAGGGGCATCATGGTCGCTGCATCCCAAGCCAGGCATATTGTGCATCAGAGTCAACGAATGGAAGTCATCAGAATTCTGGATGACACTCTGTGATGCTTGGATGGTTCTCTACTTAACCCCCTGTGGAGGCTGCTGTGTATCTGTTTCATGCCAGACTCGGAGAAAATAGTAAAGATAAAAGACAGAAGGCTTATAGCTGTTTTCATAAAGTGTTTGTTTTCCTTGCTGTTAAGACCACTTGTCCAAGTGAATCATTTGGGGTTATATTTTACTAAAGCACCTCAAAAAAAGCCAAAATATTTTTAGAATCTATAGCTGTGGGTGATCCAAACATAATGAGCTTCCTCCTTCTGAAAAAAAAAAAAAAAAAAAAAAAAAACAGAAAGAAAAGAAAAAAGGAAAGCCTAGGTTTTTTTTCCTCCAACCCTGCCTCTGAGTTTGAAACCTACAAGCAATTGCTGCCCCTCCCTCCCAAACCCTTAGTTTTTACCCAACATAAAATGAAAATGAAGATAACATGGAAGGATTTCATGACAGAGATGTGTCATATTCAGGCTGTGGATAATTGAAATTTACGATTAACAATTTTGTCAGAAGAATGCCTTTTAGTCCCCGGGGTCCTTTATTGTGTATGCTAATAGGACAATTTAGGATAAAGACAGGGAGTGGGTTATAAAGAGAAAAGCTTCATTATGTAAGTTAAGGAGTAATACAACGCATTCACTAATGAGAAGTTTTAACATATTTTACTTATCTACATTTGAACAGACAATACATTCATATAGTTCAAAACTCAGGCTGGGTGCATTGGCTCACGCCTGTAATCGCAGCAGTTTAGGAGGCCAAGGCAGGTGGATCACCTGAGGTCAGGGGTTTGAGACCAGCCTGGTCAACATGATGAAACCCCATCTCTACTTAAGAAAAAAAAAAAAAATTAGCCAGGCATGGTGGTGCGCACCTGTCATCCCAGATATTCGGGAGGCTGGGGCAGGAGAATCGCTTGAACCTGGGAGGTGGAGGTTGCAGTGAGTCGAGATCACACCACTGCACTCCAGCCTGGCGACAGAGGGAGACTCTGTCTTAAAAAAAAAAAAAAAAAAAAAAAATCAAACTGTATGAAAGGATAGGGAATGAAAAGAACCCTTTCACATCCTTGTTCTTCACCCCCAGCTTTCCTGAGGCCATGAGAGCTACCAGAGTGTTTGGTATGCTGTCAGATGTGTGCTATGGATAAACCAGCAACACACACATATTCTTATACTCTGTTTTTTAATGCAAATGGCAACATTCACTACACTTTGTTCTATGCCTTGTTTCTACACCTGAGGATGTCTCTTAAATGTTTTTGTTTCAATGTATAAAGAACTTCCACGTACATGAGCCCTACCTTAGAATCATCCCCCATAGTAGAGGTTTCTCTTTTTTTTTTTTTTTTTTTTTTTTTTTTTTGAGACGGAGTCTCGCTCTCGCCCAGGCTGGAGTGCAGTGGCGCGATCTCGGCTCTCTGCAAGCTCCGCCTCCCAGGTTCACGCCATTCTCCTGCCTCAGCCTCCCGAGTAGCTGGGGCTACAGGCACCTGCTACCACGCCTGGCTAATTTTTTTGTATTTTTAGTAGAGACGGGGTTTCACCATGTTAGCCAGGATGGTCTCGATCTCCTGACCTCGTGATCCGCCCGCCTTGGCCTCCCAAAGTGCTGGGATTACAGGCGTGAGCCACCGCGCCCGGCCGGTTTCTCTTCTTTTATTGTTTTCTGCCTCTGCTTTCATTGTAAGCCTTCTTTAGTATTCATCTTTTATTTCATCCGGCTTAAAGGAAGAAGACCAGATCTTTGTGCAGTAGGGACCCTAAGCTTTGAAGAACTCTAGTGATAGCAGGTCAGAAGAAAATTCCTGAGATTGGGAGCTTGCACCTTTCTGAAGAAACAGACATGCAACAGGATGTAAGGAGAAAGGAGTAGAGACGAGACAGGAAATGGAATCAAGAAGAAAGACAAAGGCAGTGGGAAAGAACCAGGCATTTGCAATAATATAGATAATTTGGGTGACTGAACTAGTAAAAACCTGTTTTTCTGTGTGAGAAGTCTGTGTTAAATGTATAGAGGCAGCTAATATATTAGAGCAGTAGAGAGGAATTATGCTGATGTACAGACTGAAATGTACATGATTAGCTCTAGAGATTAATATAGTCTCTATAGATGTGACTGTACGTTGATGCAGTTCTAATGGCTGATTTGGAAAATAAAATCAAAATGATTAAAAATGTACCTGAGGCCAGATGCAGTGGCTTACACCTGCAATCCCAGCATTTTGGGAGGCTGAAGTGGGAGGATCGTTGAGGCCAGGAGTTCAAGACCAGCCTGGGCTACATAGTGAGACCTCATCTCTACCAAAAAAAAAAAAAAAAAAAAAACCCACAAAAAACACCCACAGTATAAAATTGCCCATAAACTGCAATTATTTTAAGGAAACAATAATGAACAAAGTTGTCACATCATTTACAAAAGCAAAAATTTAGAAACATCTAAATATCCAATGTAGTGGGTTAATGTAGTAAATTATTGTGTATCCATAAACTGAAATACTATCAGCTATAAAATATGTGTTTACAGGTATGGGAGAATGTTCTCCATACATTTCTAAATTAAAAGAATAATTATACAGCTAAAAGGCTACTCTGTATATCTATTTTATTGATTTAATTTCTTTTCTTTTTTTTTTTTTAATTTTTACAAACAGGGTCTCACTGTGTTGCCCAGGCTGGAGTGTAGTGGCATGATTATCACTCACTGTAACCTTGAACTCCTGGGCTCAAGTGATCCTCCCACCTCAGCCTCCCAAGTAGCTAGGACTACAGGAGTGCACCACCACGCCCACACCTAGCTATTTTTTTTTTTTTTTGTAGTGATGGGGGTCTTTCTATGTTGCCCAGGCTGATCTTGAACTCTTAGCCTCAAGCAATCCTCCTGGGATTATAGGCGTGAGTCACCATGCCCTGTCTATATATTTATTTTAGTATATTAATAATAGCAAATGTTTATTGAGATTCACCATTTACCAGAAGCTCTTTGTGGTGTTTTAAACTCATTAAAACTTACAATCCATAAATTAGGAGCTACAATAATTTCCAATTTGCCCACAAGAAAACTAAGGCACAGAGCAGTTGAGCAACTTGAGTAATAGTTGGCACGTGGAAGGGCTGCATCTTTGACCCTGCTTTTCTAGCTATAGAGCCAGGTCCACATGTGATAATGCCTACCTGTGTAGTGAAAAACCTAGGTAACAAAATAGAATTCGGTTTTTGAACAGTGACCAATGCGGGGGATAATGTATCTCTGCATGGGAAGAAGTTATCCTCAGTGGGGGACTGAGGAGGTGGGTGTGAGGGGATTTTGCCTGTGTTGCAATGGTTTATTTCTGATAAGCCTAATATGGATAACTAAAATCAAGGGTAAAAAACTAAATTTAAGGAGACCTGGAAAGGACCAAAATGAATCAACTTAGTATCTTAAAGATGATATAATCACAAAATATGCCATGAAAGCATTCAGATTTTTTAAAACAACAAACAACATGCAAGTGTTAATAAATCTGAACTTGCAGTGATCTACTGTTTATTCATATGATAATTTCTTTAGTTTAAAATGATTGCTTAGGATTCATTTTATAAGTGTGCTCTCCTCAAGCACTTTAAACTAAAATATTAAAAATAAAAGAGTAAAACGAGGCTGTTACAGACAAAACAAAGTCCAAAAACATCCCAATATTCAGCTTACATATTGAATAACTGTGTGGGAAGACATTGGCCATCTTTTGTAACTTGTCCTTGGAAGTGCTTTCAAAACCACTTTCATTATTAAGTATTCCACGTTGTTTTTAACAAGATTATTTCACCTACACTATTTACCATACTTGTCACCAAATGATTATGTTTCCAGAAGTTCAACCTCACTGAAAATGATGACAATTTGTCACCACAGAGGATATTTTAATAAATGGACTTCAGTTTTCAAGATTCAAAGCAATATTTCCATAATATATTTAGTTATGTCAATATTGTTGGAATATGTATATCTTTCTAACATGGCTCCTGACAAATTCTGACATTTTTGTTTAAAAACAAAGCTAGTTACATTGTCAGAGGTATTTGAATCAGAGCAACTCCATCTTGAATAGGGGCTGAGCGAAATAAGGCTAACACCTGCTGGGCTGCATTCCCAGTAAGTTAAGGCATACTTAGTCACAGGATGAGATGGACAGTCAGCACAAGATACCGGTCATAAAGACCTTTCTGATGAAACAGAGTGCAGTAAAGAAGCTGGCCAAAACCCACCAAAACCAAGATGGTAATGAGAGTGACCTCCAGTTGTCCTCACTGCTACACTCCCACCAGCACCATGACAGTTTACAAATGCCATGGCAACATCAGGAAGTTACCCTATGTGGTCTAAAAAGGGGAGGCATGAATACTACACCCCTTGTTTAGCGTATAATCAAGAAATAATCATAAAAATGGGCAACCAGCAGCCCCTAGAGCTGCTCTTCCTATAGAATAGCCAGTCTTTTATTCCTTTACTTTCCTAATAAACTTGCTTTTACTTTACTGTATGGACTCACTCCAAATTCTTTCCTGCATGAAATCCAAGAACCCTCTAGAGTCTGGATCAGGACCCCTTTTTGGTAAGAACATTGCTTTATGTAACTTCGTGTGTGTGTGTGTGTGTGTGTGTGTGTGTGTGTGTGTGTGTGTGTGTATGTCATACATTGAGCTACATTTATGTACTCATATCCAGAATTTATGTTAAGGCATGTGGGCACAGTACTCCTTAAAGTACAATAAACACTATTTACCCCCTCATTGCGTAATGGCCTGGAGCCTAGAGCAAACTAAAATAAACTACACTAATTTTTCAGTTGTATGTTAAAACCTTAAATTCACCACATAAATATCCCAAAACCAACTCAGAGCAGTAAGCTGATGGCTGGATAGAAGCACAATCAGAGGGATTATTCTGAGGGAGCAGGGGAAACGTGTTTCTTGACCTTCTGTTCTGAAAGGCTTCTTTTCATCTGGTTTCAATTCTCTTGTTTGTGCACCTTGCCATATTTATTATTGAATTCCTGGTTTCTTCTTGTTTTATGTTCCATGTTCCAATGATTTATGAGAAATTGCTGATCTAGATGTTATCTTTGGCATTCAAAGAGTGCACAGAGCCCCTTAAGAATGCTGAGAGAATAAATGTGTTTTGAGCTGCACAATACCCAAGCTGAACAGATGTCCATCAATTCATGAAAAATGCCAGCTGAAGATGCTTTAATAAGATGCATTTTTCTTCAACACAGCAGCAGCAAGAATGTTTTCAAAATCGCAGATAATTTTCCCTCTTTGGTAGATGATTGTGGTTAGAAATGATAAGACTTGGTTCTAAAATATTCATATGAGAAAAACTCTGGTCAAAGATAGATTTTTTTTTTTTAGCTCAGAATAAAGTGGCACATTTTTTACATCAGGGAATTGTCTTGTTAGGTTGACTAAGAAATGGAATATGCTAATGACATTTCAGTTAATTTCTAAACATCTCCATGAAGATGATCTAGTTTAAGTGAGTAGGGGGTGAGAATTTCTTTAATGGTGACCAGTTTTTTTCTTGCTTAACTAAGTGAAAACTAATTAGCAAGTCAAATGTGCTCAGAAGAAGTCATCTAATTAGATAAATTTTACAGACTAATCAAAGTAGTTAGGGAATTTTCCCTAGACTTCCTTCTCTCCACTATGGGAGGTTAAACACATCCCCAGAAAACATTGCCCTTACCAAACTTTATCATCCTATGCAAGTCTTTCTGTAATCAAACTTGCCAAAATATTATATCCAATACTGTAATGCAGACATGTATGCAGATTCCTTCATGGGCTTAGTGTTCCGTGAATTTTCCCATAGAATTTAATAATTTTTAAGAAGGAGATGTGTCAATATATCAAGTCCTAATTATTTAAAATTACATTCTTCATTCTTTTCTATCTTATTTTTCAGAGTTAAATCAGAAAAGTAACACACAGAATAAAGAAAACATGTAAAGAGGTTAAGAAAAACTATAATAAACAGTGTACTTGCCATAAAAGGTGTATAATAATAGGAGAAAAGATGTCTTTTTATTTCATGACAATAAGAGAGAGAATAGATACCTTCACCTGTTTCATCACACACATGAATCAGCTATGATGGAACACCTAGAGTAGTCAATACTTTTCTTGTTAGATAGTTAAACAAATTTGGCAAGCAAGTAAAGATTATCTTAATAAATCAAATGTTCATTTCTGCAATTCCAAATACTGAAATCACTGCGTATCTAAGGAATAATATAAAAGACTGTAGGGTTCCTCTGTAAATTTCAAGAATTAAAGGATATATATGTACATATATCTCAATCTTGGCTAAGGACCAATTTTTTATTTTCAGGGTTGTCCTTATAGAGCTCATCAACTTAGTTTCCAAAACCCAAATGTTAAATATTCTATGGTGTAAAATGTTTATATCTAGATGGTGAGATTAAGTATGGTTTTCAATTTCTTCTTTAGGCGTTCCCATTTTATATTTTTAAAAAACTAGTCAAGTATGGTTGTGGGAGGAGACAATGTTACTCAGCTTAACAATAACCCAGCACCCTCAGACCAACTATTTTGTATTGTTTTTATGGTGTTTATTTTTATAGTGCTTATTACTTTTATAACTAGGAGGAAGGATATTGAAAAGAAAATCCTGGGCTATCAAACACACATGGAAGTGCACAATGATGAGTTTTGAGACAGATTTTCACGAGGATGGCTTCTTACCTACTCTACGTTCTGGGATTCAGAAACTTAGCCATAAATGTAATCCTGTATCCATCTAAGTTAGGTACCTAGATGTATTTTCTAAGAATTTTGTTAAAAAGTTTGATTAAGAACTGATCCCACATTAAGAAATGATTTATGATAAAGTTAATAAACATTTGAGCCAAGCCCCAAAGCAAAACAACAACTATATAGTTTACAAACACTACTATATTCCCCCAAAACTGTTTACTCTAGGATACAGATGAATGATCCACCATAAATGGTTATAGAAACTCCTATGGAAGCCCCGGTCCTGTCCAGATTTTTGTATTCTCTCATAACCTAGTTCAGTATCATCCACAGCTACCTCTGTATGCACAATGGACCGTATCACATGGCAGTCTTGAGTCCTCACGATAGCACTTGATTTCTTTATATTGTACTTGAATCCTTAGTATTTCTGTCTCCAATTGTCTAAATCTCAGACTTTAAGAAACAATGTCTTCTTTAACTTTGTTGCTAATTGCCAGCTACTTCAATCTCTAAATGCTGTATCACAGACCTTTGCAAATGTAACACTGTTCAAATGCTATAAATGTCCACTCTTGTTCCCTGTTACAAAATACCTCCTTCTCTCTCAGACAATGGATGTAGAGAGATTTTTAGACCTCCTTGATTTGCCAGGCAGTGGACTGTTTTCATTTATAATGAAGATAGAAGCTGTTACTCCTTCTTTACAAACTGACTCTGTTTTAGCCTAATGCCAGTAAGAACTTAGGCCTCCACACCATTTTTACATAAGAAACACAATCATTGTCAGCATTTTGAGATTTTAAAAAATAGACTTTATTAAAAATTTCAAAGACGAAACACAGAAGAGGTCTTACATCACATATCCTCATCAAATTGTTTCAAACATCCTCATCAGAGCTAACTATCCTCCCCCGACTCTCCAACTTTGCTGCCAGCTGGGGTTTTCCTTGTCCCCTTCAACCCTCATAGAGCCCCCAGCCCCACTGATTCCTTTTCCTCCCTCCAGTCTATCACCTGCAGCCTGCATAATTATACACCCAGTTATCAGCAAATTAAACTTCTTTAAAAAGTGAAGGGGGTTAGGAATAACAATGTTATTTTCCTCTATTCCATTCACATTAAGTGCTCACAACAAGCCTTTGTGATAGGTTTCATCACCCCAAGTTTGCATTAAAGAATGTCCAGAGTACAAGCCAAGGTTCTCTTCAGAGTTTCATTCTAAACTATTATATCATGTCATTTCCTCATACAGTCATAAGACATCTGTCTAACCCTCACATAAATGTATGCAAAATGCCCAAACATCAAAATTCAGATAGCTATAGATACAGGGATGGTTTCCAAAATTCAGACAGCTATAGATAACAGGGATGGTTTCCATAATTCAAGACAGGAAATAACCACAGAATTGGTTTTGTTTGTCTTTTTGTTTTAATAATGAAGGAGAATATCTCAATGTAAAATCCAACTTTGGAAGTTGCCTCTTTCAAAAAAAAAATTAGGACAGCTTATCTATCCCATCTATCAGAGTCACATTGAAAAAACAATTTTCAGGCATCAGATATTTATGCAGAGTAACATAGAATGAAATATTCTTAACCCCCAGCATTTATAAAGATGCATGCAGCAGCAGATAAACTGTGTGGTGGGGCCATGGAAGTAGAAATACAGTTAGTAAAGATTCTGTAGTTTAAAATTTGGTCTTGAGAACTGCAAAAAGAGAAAGTGAGAGAGATCTACATTGTTATTATTATTCTTTATCAAAGGAGGGAACCGTGACTTGCCTGAGTTGTGAACAACTATGGGATTTGGAAGGATAACAATGAATGAACCTGAGTGAAGGAAAAATGGGGGCCAATTGCAGTTATGGGGAAATACTAGTGAAATGAGTCCTGACATAAACTCTCAATGTCTTCCCTGCTTCATACTCCTAGTTGTGTTCTGCATTCCTTGCATAAAACAAAAAAGAGATTCCTTTTTCTTACCTTTGAACAGAGGAAAGGGTTGCCAAAGCAAAATCTAGGTATGGTATGGTGAGAAGAAAAATGGCATGTGCTCTTTGGAGATGAAAAGGGCTGTAAAGGCACTGGAGGTGGAAGTTCCTAGGAAACTATCCACAGGAATGAGACTACACACATGTTTTGACTCACCTTAGGTGGAGAAAGAAACCATTCTCCCATATGCAGTTGAATTGTAAGGAGTGTATCAGTCAGTATGGGCTAGATTTTGCTGCATAAACAAACAACTTTAAAAAAATCTCAGGAGCTTAAAATGACAGATGTTAATGTCTTGCTCACACTTATATATCCACTGCAGATTGGCAAGGATGTTCTGCTCACTGTAATCTCTTAGGGACCCAAGCTGATGGAATCTTCATTTCAACATGTGCTTCCACAATCACCAAGGCATGAAAAGATAAAGTGGCAAAATACACACTAGCTCTTAAAGTTTCCACCCAGAAGTGACCTGTGTCACTTTACTCTCACATTTCAATGGCCAAAGCAAGCCAAATGCCCACAGTTAACTTTAAAGGGAGCTGAGAATGTGCAGTCTCATGTCCAGAAAGAGGAAAAGTAGGATATTTGAGGTCAGATCCAGTGACTACCACAAGGAACTGCAATGCTAAGTTAATAAGGGAGGGCTAGCAGGTTGTCCTCCCTCAATTTCTCTGCTTCCAAAGTTCACAAAGGCTGTCCATGTGCCTCCATGCAATGTATCAGCCATTTTGATTTAGTTTCACTATGGATTTCACCATTCAGTAATGAAGAGGTATTAGAATTAACATCAGAAACTCTCTGTACTTGTAATTCTATGTTCGTTAAAAGCCACAGATCAATACTGGGTTCAGTAAACTGCATAATTCATTACAAAGGTAAATTTAGCCATTTTCAGGTAATGCTCTTAGCCATCTTGAAATAAAAATCTCAAGGAAGAGAGTCATATGAAAAACTAAAGAAAAGGATCACCTTATTTAGGTACCTGATAATTGCAAGCAAGACTCATTTTAATACACTGCTAATGAGACTATAATCTGACACAATCCTTTTGGGAAAAAATGCCACACTACGTATCAAGAGCCTTAAATTATTCCTCATTCTTTTACCTCACAATTCAATTATTGGAAATCTATCCTAGAGAACCCTAAGTGTTTAAAAACCCAACATGATGTTCACTGCCAGACTGTTTATAGTAGTAAATAATTTAAAGTAGTTTAAATGTTCCACGACAGAGGAATGGTTTAAGCAAATTATGGTAAATCTACATGAGGGACCTATTGAAAGTTGTGTTTGTTGGGAAAATGATAACATTATAATATTAGCTTAAAAATACAAAATTACAAGATTTTGTAATTATAACAAAATTTATAATTTGCAACAAAAATATAAAATTATTCATATACTGTAGTCAAATATGTGTTAAATGTATCTATATCATATAATATATATTTTTGTACATATTTTGACATCCATTATGAATAGACCATTTCATACAATGGCACTAAACAGACCTGTTTCCCTTTTGATACTATGCATTTTATACATGCGTGACCAAAGGACTACTATTATTTTTTAATTAACAAGACAGATCACCACAAACTTGCTGACAGCACAAGGGTATAATAAGATTTTGAGTTGATTTTAGAAAGTTGGAAGATATAGGCAAAATGCATGCATGCATGTGTGTGTGTGTGTCTGTGTGTTTGTGTGTGTGTGTGTTTCTTTGTAAAAGAAAAAGAGAATATTAGGGAAAACGCATTTTTCAAAGTTATTAGAAGAAACTGATTTGATATAAAGGGACTTAGCAGAAAAAAACCTAGTGAACACATTGTAAAGACTGAGACTGTTTTGGAGCATAATTCTTGGGTGTATATTAACTGCAGAGAGGTAATCCTATATATTAAGCTTTTAATATACTAATGCATACAAGACTAATGCTAGTTGTTTTAGAATAATAATAATAATGTTTGAGAAATGGCTACAATGGAAAAATTCTGAAGGGAATTGAGGTGATTGAAACTGGAAATAGAAATCTGAGGAGAAAACCAATACGTATTTAATGAAGTAAAAGGCATATTTGTGAGAATGTTGGTAAGCAGTGCTTTAATGGTCATCAACATTGATTCTATTAAACATGTACTGAAAGCAGACAGATTTCAGACAAATTAGAGAGCATTTTCCAGGCCAAGTGCGGTGGCTCACGCCTGTAATCCCGGCACTTTGGGAGGCCGAGGCGGGCGGATCACCTGAGGTTGGGAGTTCAAGACCAGCCTGACCAACATGAAGAAACCCCATCTCTACTAAAAATGCAAAATTAGCCAGGCGTGGTGGCAGGCACCTGTAATCCCAGCTACTTGGGAGGCTGAGGCAGGAGAATCCCTTGAACCTGGGAGGCGGAGGTTGCAGTGAGCTGAGCTTGCACCACTACACTCCAGCCTAGGTGACAGAGTGAGACTGTCTCAAAAAAAAAAAAAAAAAAAAAAAAAAAAAAAAGCACTTCCTAGGTAGCAAAGTAACAACATTCTGGGATATAATGTGAAGACATTTGGGGAGTCTTCTTTCTCAGGGTTTGTTTGGCTTGAAGGAAAGAAAAAATGGCCACCTATCTTTTGGGGTCTGTGGTGACTTTCCTTTTGAGGAGGACGATGGTTTCTCCTTTAGTTCTTTCAGTTTGGACTGTAGGTTCCTTGTCTCCCTTATTCTTTCCCTGACTTCTTTGAAGACAGCAAAAATTAAGAGACTCATTTTCTTTTTTTTAACTTTCAGTTCTGGAATACATGTGCAGAACATGCAGGTTTGTTACATAGTTATACATGTGTCATAGTGGTTTGCTGCACCTATCAACCCATCACCTAGGTTTTAAGCCCCGCATGCATTAGGTATTTGTCCTAATGCTCTCCCTCTCCTTGCCTCCCACTCTCTGACAGGCCCTGGTGTGTGATGTTACCCCCCCATGTCCATGTGTAAGAGACTCTTTTAAAAAAGAAATAGATGGTTATTTCCAGTCCTACTAATGATAATGAAGTAATTTTGAAATTTTAAAAATTTCTTACAGCACTCTCGGAAATAACTTCTTGCATATTTATTTTTCTTGCTTACAAAGGTAGAAATTTATTATAGGCCCACAATCTCTTTTCCAAAAGTATTGGAGACAAATATATTTTGGAATTCCTTGCTTTTTTATTCTAAAAAGATAATACGGTACAAATATCAGGGATTATGTAACATTCCCAGTGGAATCTGGAGCAGTACCCATTACTGAAAACATTAATACATATAATGTACAGTAATACATATAAACATTCACACAAAGTAAAGACGATAAATAGCCTCACCTCTAGGTTACATTTTGCCATAAAATAGTTACAAAAATCTTAGGTTTTTAGATAGGGTTGCAAGATAAAATACAGACTGCTCAGTTAAATTTGAATTTCAGATAAACAACAAATAATTTTTATCGTTGTGGTTGCTTTTGTTTTTTGTGGTGGTGGTGGTGGTGGTGGTGTAGGAACAAGTAATTTTTTAGTATATGCCCCAAACATTGCATGAAACACACTTATACTAAAAAAAAAAAAAAAATACATATTCAGGCCAGGTGTGGTGGCTCACGCTTGTAATTCTAGGGCTTTAGGAAGCTGAGGTGGGAGGATCACTTGAGGCCAGGAGTTCAAGATGAACCTGGGAAAAATAGGGAGACCCTGTCTCTACAAAACACACACACACACATGCACACAAAATGTTTAAGTAGAATTCAAGTTTAACTGAATGTCTGTTTTTTTTAATTTATGAAATGTGCCTCTTTTAATTTGAAACTGCAAATAAAAGATTGTAGACTCGTATTTAAAAATATCCTAATTGAAATACTATTAAGAGCTACTATTCCAGGAGTTGAGTTTGATTTGGGCCTTTTTGAAGGGAAATACAGAAAACAAAGTTTTATTAAGTATGTTTATGTCCACACAGTATGTGAGATATAAAGCCTGTGCAAAGCCAAACAGATGAACAACTCAAGATATTTAAAGAGTTAGAAATAACATGGCTATTTTAGAAACAATTTATATCATGCATTTTAATAATGGTTCTTTCCTGTTTCACTGGAAAATTCATCATCTATAAAATATCCCTTTTAGAAAGTTATAAGAAGTCTCCTTAACAAAGATATAGCTCCATCTAATGGGAAAAATATCACATTACAGCCTATCATGCAGCTAGGAATTAATCCAATATTTCTATGAGTGCTAATAATAATTATATGTGTATGTAGTTTATACACACACATACACAAATACTGGATGTGTTTCTGTGCTTCTCCTTTTTTGCAGCCAGATAGGATCTAAAAGTTCCTTCAAGAGCTGCTCTTTTCCTTGGATTGAACTAATGTAAATGTATTTTTATTTTTATATTTTAGAGACGGGGTCTTGCTCTGTTGCTCAGGCTGGAGTTCAGTGGTGCAATCATGGCTCACTGCAGCCTCAAACTCCTAGGCTCAAGTGATCCTCCCACCTCAGCCCCCCATGTAGCTGGGACTAAAGCACGCACCACCATGCCAGGCTAATTTTGTATCTTTTGTAGAGACAGGGTTTCACCATGTTGTCTAGGCTGGTCTCAAACTCTTGGGCTCGAGTGATCTTCCCATCCTGACCTGCCAAAGTGTTGGGATTACAGGCATCAGCCATCATGCTCGGCTATTTTTATTTTTATAGTTCTTTCAAGAGCATCTCTTTTCCTTGGATTAGACGAATATAAATATATTTTTATTACGTATAACCACCCACACCCTAAGCTCATTCCCACCCTATTAATCTACAAAATGTAACCTTAAGAGTGTTTAATTTTCTGCCCTTGAAAATCATGGCCTCTTCAAACGTGGAAAGGACATTAGAGATTATCCAACTTGTGGTTCTCTACCCTGGCTAAGTATTAGAATCATCTGGGAAAGTTAACAAAAATACCCCTGCCTGAAACCACCAACATAAATTCTTTTTTAACTGGTCTGGGTAAGTCCTGGGCTTGGGTATTACGTAAAAGCTCTCCCAGGAGATTCTAATGTGCAGGTGATTCTAATCCCCCAGCTGACTTTAACGTGCAGCCAGGTTTAGGCCCTGGTGAATTTTAAGACAGCCAACATATTTTACGATAGAGGAAACCAAGCCCCACTGAAGAGAAGTGATTCTATAACTAGAATGTTAGAGTCTCTGACATGTAAGAAATCACAATTCTTAGAAATAGATAAGAAAACACAATCATCATAGTGTTCTTGCCCATCCTTTCTTTTATGTAAAACTTTCTTCTATGAAGATACAGCAGGAAAATGTCTATTTCAAAACTCAAACTCAATGACATCAAATCAGAGATATGAATTGTCCTCACTTCTGAGAATCTGACCTCCAGGTTCAAATTATAGTCTATTTTATCTCCATTTTTCTTTCACCCCTCTCTCCATTTCATCATCAAATCCTGTTAGTACTTTTTGTAAGCTCAATGACAGCAGAGCATGGGTCTATCTTGTTCACTGCTGCAGTCCTAGCCCTGAGCATCATGTTGGCTCATGGCAAGCACTCTATACGTATATGCAAAATTAAGCAAATGAAGTCAGGTTCTCTTGCATCCATCCACTCCTTCATCTCAAGACTAAACCCTCAATTCCTCCTGCCTGGGTAACCATTCAAGTCTCTTTGCTAATTTTCTTTGATGATTTCCTAGGGTTTCCCCCACACCAGACATCAGTCTCTTTCAACTAATATATTTTACATGTTACTTTCAGCCTTCATCATTTCATTCCCCAACATACACATCTCTGTTTCAATTTCTTCCTTACTCTCACTCCACTCTAATTTTTCAAACTTTTCCTCCAATGTTCCCCATACCCTTCCACTCATGCCATGTACTATAGCTCTATTTCCTCCTGCTCATACCTTTCTGCTTTGAAGAAGTGGAAAAAACAGGCTGTGGAATCAGACCAATTGCAAGTGGTTCCAATTCCAGCTTTGCTATTTAGTCATTCTGAGTCTCAATTACTTCATTTATAAAATGTATCAGTAGAAAATAAGATAATATATTTAAAGCACCTGGTGCTACATCTTGTGCATAGTACTGAACCAACCCTTTATAGTCTCTCTGTCAGCACCACACAATCTTGATTACTATAGCCATTTTTCACACCATTTAGAAGAGAAAAGCTTTAATTCTAGAAGTACTTAAGTAGACATTCTGCTATACTAATTTTATACACAAATAAGCTGTGTCTTCCTTGTTTAAGGTATTTGAGTAAGAACAGTTATAATCAAAGGTCAATTTATCCTGAATTTATTTTAAAGATACCTCCCTCTTGAGGGCATTACTATATATGACTCAGTATACTGTGAACTTGAGCACCGTGATATATATATTACTGGGTGGAAATGGAGGTAAACTAGTACAGACATCTTGGAGGACAATTTGGCAACATCTATTAACATTTAAAAACCCATGAGCATAAAGACTGTACAAAAACTGTACAAAAACTGTAAACTGCCTAAATTTCCAGCACTAAGTGACCAGGCAAATAACACACAGTAAAACACACAATAAAATAACATGTTACTACTAAAAATGGAAAAATCTATATATACTTACATGGATTATATCCAAG
Organism: Homo sapiens; assembly: GCF_000001405.40. Taxonomy (NCBI): domain Eukaryota; kingdom Metazoa; phylum Chordata; class Mammalia; order Primates; family Hominidae; genus Homo; species Homo sapiens. Next base: position 170,850,972 of record NC_000003.12, read on the forward strand.
ACATATCTGCATAGACATACTTGTACACACATAAAATAAAAATACCTTCAGATGAATGCTGGTAATAGTCATTGTCTTTGAGAGAAGAAACGGGTCAGTAGGCTTCAGGGAAAGGAAGGAATACTTTTCACTGTGTACTCTTTTACAATAGAAACTGATTTTTAAACCACCTATATGCATTATATATGCATATATAATATTTAAATTATATATAAAATTTTTGAAATAGGACTTACACATAGAAAGTGAACAAATCATAAGTGTTAAGAACATCTTTTTAATAAAGTTAACATACCCACCTACAAAACACTCATATCAAGGAGAAAAGCATTACCAGTATATGTTTACAGGAAAATTCTGGTATTAATTTACCTTTACTACTTCAGTATGTATATCAAAACAAACTAAAAAATAACAGTAATATCATAATCACACTGAGTAAAATGAACAATAGTTAGGTTTTAGAATATGTAATGCTTATATTTTTTAATACCCAGTTCATGTTCAATTATCTTTGCTTATCTCAAAAATATCTATTTGCATTTGGTTTGTTTGGATCATTTTCCAAAAAGTCCCCATATTACATATGGTGATTTTTCTCTTAAATCTCTTTTGTTCTATAACTGGCCCACCCTCTTCTGTTAATGCTATTTCTTTGTCATTGGAGAAACTGGTCATTTATCTTGTAGAATCTCTTACATTCTGGAATGGCTGATTAAATCCTCCTGGTATCATTTAATATGTTCTTTACCCACTGCATCTTTTGTAAACCATCAGTTAGATCTAGAAACTCATATGCTTTCTTGAGTTGGTAAATAAAAGTACTCTATGATCCACTACATTTGAGCAAAGCTACATATTTGGGGGAACCGATGCATGGAGAGTCACAAAGACCTGAAAAATTCCCAAAGCAAATAAATGTTTAGTTTGCTTAACTGTCCATTTCCCATGTGTTATTTTGTTGTTACTGTACTACTTACTATGTTCACATGGAACTACAGTCCTGTTTTATGCACTTTGATAAACACTGGAGCAAAAGATCTGTATGGTCTTCTCAAAATCCTATGACTTTTCATGGTATGAGACATATTGGCTGGGCACAATGGCTCACTCCTGTAATCCCAGCACTTTGGGAGGCTGAGGCAGGAGGATCCTTGAGCCCACAAGTTCAAGACCAACCTGGGGGATATAGCGAGACCTCATCTCTACAAAAAAAAAAAAAAAAGAGAGAGAGAGAGAATAAAAATTAGCTGGGTTTCATGGCACATACTTGTAGTCCCAGCTACTTGGGAGGCTGGGGTGGGAAGATCCTTGAGTCCAGGAAGTGAAGGCTGCAGTGAACTGTGATCTGCACTCTAGCCTGAGTGAGACAGCGAGACCCTGTTTCAAAAAAAAAAAAAGAGAGACAGAAAGAGACATACTGCAGATGCTCATAAAAGTTCGCTGATTGATTAATCCAGCAGTCACGTGTTGTGTTTTCTATTTATAGTGTACTGTACTCGAAACCACTATTCCTGTCCTTAAGAAATAAGATTGAGTTGATAAATCAGCATGTGTTCAGGCAATAAACTCACATGCTTATTTAAAGCATATGGCAGTTTAAAAAAAAAATCCACTGTATGTGTTGTGGATTTATGGAGTGGCCTGTTGGGTTTCATGAGGAAAGCTCCAAAAGAGAGGTCAGCCTTGGAGTACATCAACAAGCATTCACAGCAAGTCAGACCTGGAAACACACACACACACACACACACACACACACACACACACACACACACACAGAGCGAGAGAGAGAGAGAGAGACAGAGAGAGAGAGAGAGAGAAACAGAAATCTGCTGGTTTAATCTCTTAATTTATAGAAAACAGGAAGCCTAAGGACAGGAAAGGATTCTTATAGCTGATGAGACCCAGACATTCCTGCTGGTAAGCTTAGTGCACTCCCTTAGTAGGTCCAATTCAAGATTATTTTTTTGTAGGTAAACTGTTTTGTTTTGTTTTCTCTTCCCTCTGGAAGCTTTTGGGATTTTCTTTTTATCCTTTGGAGTACTGAAACTTCTTCAGGAAGTTATGAGCTTTTCCCTTCATCCTACCTGGCCTACCTCGCAATATGAGGATCCAGATTTTCTTGGGCGGAGGGAAACTTTCTTCTGCTACTTGCATATCTGTCCTGGGTCACTTGTTTTAATTTGTTCATTCCAATCATTTTCTTTGATACTGTTGGTTCTACTCATTTTGAGTGAACCTTGGTTGCCTTTCTACATTTATGAATGAAAGGTAATGTTACTAATTATCTGACTTGGGATTCTTTTGTAGTTATATGGATTTGCTTACCCAGAAAGGCACACAGAGATAAATTTGACCTGGTTTTTAGCCTCGAAGTATTTACAGTCTAGTGAGGGAGGAAAACAAATAAACCAAAAATTCTGTCAAAGTGTCAGAATGTTTATGATATAGCTTAAACAAAAAGGCAGTGGTATTAGTTTGTGTACCAGGGAATTCCAAGGTGTGTACCTCCTCCAACTTCAATAGGCTGCCTCTGGCTTCTCTGGGGTTGGCCTTGAAATGAGCAGGGTCTGGGAGGCAAAAGGAAGGGACAGAAAAGGTCTGTCTCCACCACTACAGTTTGGTGATGTGGCTTTCTGGGCTTGAAGAAAGTTCAAGGCTTCTTCTTTCTCTTGAAGTATACATTTCTGGATTTCTCAAAGATTTATCACAGAGAATCTTTTGCTGCAACATTCGTGACATAAGCAATGCCATTTCTCAGGATCTTCACTCACTACCTGTAGCTCCTGAGCATGTGGTTGTCCCTTATACACAGACTCTTTCTGTTTGGGGTCCCACTTCTCTCCCAAGCAGTCCTCTTAGGTGAACAAGAACTCAACCCAAGCCTGGTCCTTCCCCGTGCACTACATCTGTGGACTACATCTGGTCCAGGGGAAGCACCTGTGCCTCCTTGTAGCTATGGAAATGTACCCCTCATTGCTCTCCCGTAGGCAAACTGCTCCAGCCACTGCCTTTGCCTTAGTTTTTCTCAAGGATGAGTCAAATGCCTAAAAGTCTTCAATTTCTCATGTGTCCTGGAAGTAGGAAATGAACTAAGTCTTAGAAAACTGGAGCTGGAGCACCTCCTTTGTAAGCTCTGCATAGATTTGGAATGTGGGAATATTTGGCACCTTAATTTTGTTCTCAGTTCTTGGAGTCTCAGCTGAAATAGGAGAGAAAAAGTCTCATTGGAAAAGTCTGTTTCATACCTCAATGAAAAGTACAGGGGTGATGAAATAAGGAATCTTCCATGCTGTTTCTTGAAGGCAGTAGGCCGTCTCCTGTGACTGGCCTTCTTACAATAAAACTGTGCGTCAGAGAGCCCTCTGTTAAGCCAGTTTGTGGTTCTCCAGAAGAGGAAAAAAGAAGCTTGGTTCTCTTCAAAAGCTAGATTATTCTTAGGCTTGGTTCTCCTAAGGAGCCAGCTGAATGTGCATCACTGTGAGAAAAGATTGCCTGGCAGGGAGAAATTTAGAAACATTTTTTTACACTAAAGCATTTACAGAGCATGAGCATTGAAGCCAGAGAGATCTGAATTTAAATTCCAATTTGGAACTTATTAGCTGTGTGGCCGTAGACCGACTGTTTAGCACTCTAAGCCCTTGGTTTTCTGATTTGTAAAAGGGGACTAATAACTAGCTTGAAGGGTAGCTGTGGAAATTAAATGAGATGTAGTATGTAAAGATTCCAAAACAGATGCCTTCGATGAGTAGTAGCCACTATCACCATTCCTCCTCAGCCTGGAATTCTCTCCCTCTTCTTCTCTGCCCCATCAATTCCCATTCTTCCTTAAAGAGAAGTCAGGGTAAGCCACCTCCTGCAGAAGGCCTTCTTGGATTCCTTTTCCCACTCATTATGGTATTGGTGCTTCTAAAGCATTTTGTAATATCTCTATTACTGCATGAACCACACTTACCTAAAGTCATTTGTACCCACATTTGCTCCCCTCGTTAGAACTGGGATTTCCTTGAGTGCAGAGAGTATATATAACTCACCCATCATCTCCCATGACTGCGACTGCCAAGGCAGAAATCATTGACCATATATTTGTGACATGTATGGAATCTGTAATTCACACCTCCCCATCTCAGAGAAAGAGGGAGAGAGGAGTTGCAGTGTTCCCTCCCTTGGGAGAAAACATATCTATTCCATCATAATTGAGATAGCAGATCATGATTCCCAGTTTGGCTCATTAACTCATAGGATTTTAGGACAGAAAAAAAAAGCCTTATCATGGGGGAAGTATGTTACTCTCAAGAAGCTTGTGTGTATCATGAGGTCAGGAGACCGAGACCATCCTGGCCAACCTGGTGAAACCCTATCTCTACTAAAATACAAAAAATTAGCCAGGTGTGGTGGTGTGGGCCTGTAATCCCAGCTACTCAGGAGGCTGAGGCAGGAGAATCGCTTGAACCTGGGAGGCGGAAGTTGCAGTGAGCCGAGATTGCGCCACTGCACCCCAGCCTGGCGACACAGCAAGACTCCGTCTCAAAAAAAAAAAAAAAAAAAAAAAAAAAAAGGTATATCCAATATTATGAGTTTATAGTGGGAAAATTATCCCAAAAATCTTACTTTGTTTTGTTTCAGAATAGAAAGCCCCAAAATACCTTGGTTGGTGGGGATATTTATGCATCAGTTATATCACAGGGTGGCAATTGGAACTGGGAACAAGGAACATGAGAAATATCTGTGTTTATCAAAAGGAAGCAGGTGTTACTAAAGCCCGAGAAATGCTGACCTATTTTTAACCACTTCTTTATATACAGAAGGGGAAACTGAGGCCCAGAGGGTGAAGAGATGTGTCCAAGGTCACAAAGCTAGTAGGCAACAGAGAGGCAGGATGTGTGACATGGCCCCGTGTGTGGGAGGAGCACTGGGTGAGGAGTGAGAGGTGGGTGCCATGGTGTGACCATGGGCAAGCCAGTAAACCTGAGACCTGGTTTTTTCATCTGAAAAATGGGAAGATAATATTGTGCCACAGAGGGCTGTTAAGGGATCAAAAGAAAAGAGAAAGCCATTTGTAAATGCAACACATTGTTTAAAACTGGCCTTCCTGGCATTTTAATCATCCAGCTTGTAAAAGAGCACACACTGAAGCTATATATCTAGACTCCAGTCCCTTCAGCATGACCACATACAAGGGTTTCCAGACAGTAAGTAGGAAAACCTATGCTAAGCAAAACTTCCTGGGAACTTTTTCATCAGGGGTAATGGTATAGGTGGGTAGTCACATGGGAAAAAGGTATAATTGGATCCACTTCTCAAATTGTAAACCAGGATAAATTCCAAATAGAATAGAGACCTACATTTTTTTAAGATGAAAATATGTAAGTACTAGCAGAAAACATAAATGAATTCTTGATAACGGGGAAAGCTTTTCTAACCATGGCAATAAGAAAAAAGTTAATTGATTTAATTACATAAAAATAAAAATAATGCTTCTATAGCAACAACTACAACAAAACAAAATGAAAACTAGTAATAAAACAAAAGAAAAATAGCAGCTGGGTATGGTGGCTCACACCTGCAATAATAGCACTTTGGGAGGCTCAGGCAGGAGGATTGTTTGAACTCAGGAATTCAAGACCAGCCTGAGCAATATAGCAAGACCCCATCTCTACCCAAATTTTTTAAAAAATGAGCCAGGTAGTGGTGTGTGCCTGTAGTCTCAGCTACTCAGGAGACTGAGGTGGGAGGATGGCTTGAATCTACGAAGTCAAGGACGCAGTGAGCCATGATCCAGCCTAGGCAACAGAGCAAGGGCTTGTCTCAAAAAAAAGTTAAAAAACAAAAATACCATAAGTAGGGGAAAAAGACAAATGAGAAGCTGAAAAAAGAAATTGTAATTTACATCACACACAAGGAGTTAATAGCCTTAACATAGAGGGAGCTTCTAAAAGTAAAAAATTAAAAATAAAAACAAGAATTCCACAGATATATATTAGAGATATAAACAGGCAGCTCACAGAGAAAGATATGCAAATGACCCTTATTGACATTCAACCTCACTCACAAATACAATGCAAAGGAAAATTACCCTGAAAACCAGGTCTCACCTGTCAGTTAAGCCTCAAATTGGACAAGGTTATCTCTTGGTGTGTCTACAGGAAAACAGATTTCACAGATTGCTGGTGGGAAGGCTAGTGGGAGAGCAAAATGCTACAACCCCTGTAAAGGGAAATTCAGCAATATCTAGAAATTACACATTCATTTATCTTTTGACCTGTAAGTCTCAGGTTTACAACTCCTCTCTAGGGGCTGGGCACGGTGGCTCATACCTGTAATCCCAGCACTTTGGGAGGCCAAGGCGGGTGGATCACAGGTTCAGGAGTTCGAGGCCAGCCTGGCCAATATAGTGAAACCCCTTCTCTACTAAAAATACAAAAATTAGCCGGGTGTGGTGGCAGGAGCTGGTAGTCCCAGCTACCCAGGAGGCTGAGGCAGGAGAATTGCTTGAACCCAGGAGGCAGAGGTTGCAGTGAACTGAGATTGTACCACTGCACTCCAGCCTGGGTAACAGAGCGAGACTCTGTCTCAAAAAAAAAAAAAAGACAGAGAAACTAGACTTTTCTAAATATACTTTGTTTTGTAGATTGGACTTTAGAATCCTGTAAATATTTTACAGAATTATAAAAAACAAAGTGGGCTTAAGCAAACTTTTTAATCAAAAGCAAAATGAAACAAATGACTCTGTGTATCAAGCTTGTTCTACGCCCACACAGAGATGAATCATTTCTAGTGACTTTAAAACACGAAACTTTGTTCATTTCTAGTGGGATATACCATAAGGACAAAAAGAACTGCAAAACAATCTTAAGCTGTAAAGTCATTATATTATAGGTAGTTTTGTTGGTATTATTTTATTGAAACTATTATGTGTATATTGTGAGATAAAGCAAATGAGCATTTGTGTTGGTGTCATTGAGAACTGGAACTTTCAGCATGGGAAAAAAGAGATATGGTCATACAATTGATGAAATAAAAACTCTTTTATCCTGATTTTGAATTGGAAGCATCAGAATAAACATATCATTTCCTCTTAAGAACAAAAATGTATTCCTTCACTCTGTCCACTCAAAAGGCCTAGAAACAAACACCACCCCAGTAATGACAAGCATCTCCAGCACCTAGAAAATAGTCCAGAGCTCCTTGTAGAAATGGATGACTCCTGGCCAGGCACACTGGCTGACCCCTGTAATCCCAGCACTTTGGGAGGCCAAGGTAGGAGGATCACTTGAAGTCAGGAGTTCAAGCCCAGCCTGGCCAACATGGCGAAACCACGTCTCTACTAAAAATACAAAAGTTAGCCAGGCATGGTGGCACATGCCTGTAGTCCCAGATACTCAGGAGGCTGAGGCAGGAGAATCACTTGAACCTGGGAGGCGGAGGTTGCAGTGAGCCAAGATCGCGCCACTGCACTTAGCCTGGGTGATAGAGCAAGACTCTGTCTCAAAAAAACAAGCAAACAACAACAACAAAAAAACGGATGACTCCAGATCTGAGGCAGGAAATTTGGAAGAGCCTAGCACATCCTATTATACCAGAAACCAAATAAGCAATAAAATCCAAATAAGATCATGCCAAAAGGATACAAGAGTCAACCTGAAGAGGCTCCTATTGGCTCAGTATGAGACCATTTGCATATTAGTAAGTGTAACTACCAAAACTAATAAAACAAAAGAACTGCCAGACTGCCCGAAGAAACCTACAAAGGGGCCTCTTATAGTGACTTCAGTTTTATGGGATAATTGTAATGCTTCCAAAGCTGTTGTGCTCCAAAGTCTAGCCACGGGTATTGCTATTGATTGGGCTCCAAAAGGGCATTATTCGCAAGATTGCTCCGGCAAAAATACCTCATGCTCAGAGTTTATTTATTTATTAGATTATATGGAGAATGGATGGCAGTCTTACAGGCTGAGACAATGGGTGTCTCCTTACCCATTCAAATGGATGGACGGATGCAGGCATTGCTCCTCCTAGACCAAAAATGATTCATCCCTTTGTTACCCCAGAACATCCTGAACTATGGAAATTAGCTGCAGCCTTGACAGGAATAAGGATATGGAACACTACCTATCAACTCCTTCGTACTAATACCAAAACACCCACATTCAACATCACCTTCATATCTGAACGGGTGATACCCATCAGCAGCTGTGTCAAACCCCCTTACATGCTGTTGGTTGGAAATATAATTATTATTCCTAATACACAAACTATACAATGTGATAACTGTAAGCTGTTCACGTGCATTGATACTACTTTTAATCCCACTACAAGTATTCTCTTAGTTAGGGCTGGAGAGGGGGTATGGATACCAGTTTCTTTACATCGTCCATGGGAGTCTTCCCCCTCTATTCACACAGTCAATGAAGTTCTTAAAGGTATCCTCAAAAGAACAAAGAGATTTATTTTTACTCTTAATGCAGTCCTTGCAGGACTAATTGCGGTTACTGCAACAGCGGCAACTGCTGGAGTTGCCATCCACAATTCTGTTCAAACTGCTCACTATGTTGAAGCATGGCAAAAAAACTCCTCCAGACTTTGGAATTCTCAGGCTCAATTTGTTCAAAAATTAGCTAATCAAATTAATGATCTCCGCCAAAGTGTAACCTGGCTGGGAGATAAAGTTATGAACTTGGAACACTGTATGCAATTATAGTGTGATTGGAATACTTCTGATTATTGCATAACGCCTTATGCTTATAATCAAGATCAACATAGCTGGGAAAAGGTCTCAAGACATTTAAAAACCTGTGATGATAACATAACGTTGGATATTTCACAACTTAAAGAGCAATTCTTTGAGACTTCACAAGCCCATTTATCCACTGTTCCTGGCTCAGATATTTTTCAAGGCATAACTAAACAATTATCTGATTTTAATCCCTTCAAATGGCTCAAACCCTTCGGAGGATCATTGTTGTTACTGGCATTATTAATATTGGTATGCTTATGTAGTCTCCTTTTAGTCTGCAGATGCCTCCAAGGAGTCCGAAACCAAGTCCGAAGTCAACGACAAGCAATGATGGCGATGGCGATCCTAGTTAATAAAAAGGGGGGAGATGTGGGCTGCAAGCCACCCAGGTGCCGAGGCAAGAGACCGAGGACATGAGCTGTTCCAGTATAATAAAATATAAAACAAGAATAGTTATACCAGATATAGATCTTAGATATGATTATATATGAATATAATTAATCATTAGTTTGTGGCAATTACTCTTTATTCCAATATTATAATAATCCTCGCTCTATAATCATAACCTAGGAAAAACCAGGCCATACAGAGATAGGAGCTGAGGGGACATAGTGAGGAGTGACCAGAAGACAAGAGTGCGAGCCTTCTGTTATGCCCAGACAGGGCCACCAGAAGGGCTCCTTGGTCTAGCGGTGACGCCAGTGTCTGGGAAGATGCCCGTTGCCAGGCGGACCGAGGTCTAGCGGTAGCGTAAGTGTCAAGGGAAAACACCTGCTACTTAGCAGACCGGGAAAGGGAGTCTCCCTTTCCCCGGGGGAGTTTAGAAAAGACTCTGCTCCTCCACCTCTTGTGGAGGGCCTGACATCAGTCAGGCTCGCCCACAGTTATCCAGAGGCCTAACCGTCTCCCTGTGATGCTGTGCTTCAGTGGTCACGCTCCTAGTCCGCCTTCATGTTCCATCCTGTTCACCTGGCTCTGCCTTCTAGATAGCAGTAGCAAATTAGTGAAAGTACTAAAAGTCTCTGATATGCATAAATAACGGCGTAAGCTGTCTTTCTCTTTGTCTCCTCTCTCTCTCTGCCTCAGCTGCCAGGCAGGGAAGGGCCCCCTGTCCAGTGGACACGTGACCCACGTGACCTTACCTATCGTTGGAGATCACTCACACTCTTTACCCTGCCCCTTTTGCTTTGTATCCAATAAATAGCGCAGCCTGGCATTCGGGGCCACTACCGGTCTCTGCGCATTGGTGGTAGTGGTCTCCCGGGCCCAGCTGTCTTTTCTTTTATCTCTTTGTCTTGTGTCTTTATTTCTACACTCTGTCATCTCCGCACACACGGACAGACCCACCGACCCTGTGGGGCTGGTCCCTGCAAGTAAGAGTAACTACAATGGATTAGAATATAACATATCTTTTTCATCATAGGTTCAATATGATACTAAAACAAAGAAACTGAAACAAAACCAAATAACAAAAATAAAACCCTCACTGATCACCTTTAGAGAATATCTGATTGGGAATTAACTTGAAAAATTATAATATAGAGGAAAAGAAGCATCATTTATCCTATCTTTCTTATGTGAACTGTACCTCAGGGTTGACGAGAAGTACCTCTTTATAGGGGTATTCTAGTTACTAAGTGAAAAAGGAATGATAGAGTATTAACATTGGGCAACATTTAGGGAAACAATGATCTAGGCAATGGTCATCAATGGCTGCTAACACGACAGAAGAGGAAACTAGACATTACATACTTCTTAAGAGATATACACAATGGCACTTTTAAGTATTCAGGTAAAAAAATATCACTTGAATCTGATATTGATCAAACTTCTAGATCCGACCATCAATTTTTAGGAAATACAGTGGACAGAGGACCACATTAAATGACACTATGGGGAGGGGAATTATGAAAATCTGAATTGAGAAAATTCTACAGGACAAATGACCTAGTGTGATAAACAAAGAAATTGGGATGGGGGAGTAGAGAGAAATAGAGTGAGGGCAAACTTTTTTTTTTTTTTTTTTTTTTTTGAGACAGTCTTGCGCTGTCGCCCAGGCTGCAGGGGGCAAACTTTTAAAGGAGGTTTAAGAGACATTTAATTGCAACTGTGGACCTTATTACAACTGTACTTTGTACAAAGCTAAAAATTGCCAGATATTTGGGGAAATTTAAGCACTGAGTGGGCATTGGGTAATACAGGAAATTATTGTTAATTTGTTTGTTATAGGTGTGATAATGGTATGGCAGTTATGTTTAAAGAGTCCTTATCTTTTAGACACTACATTTAGAGATATAAGCATAAGTTTATAGAAGAAATGATAAAATGTTGGGAACTTGCTTCAAAATAATCTGGGGATGTGGGAGTAGAAGGAATATAGATTAAACACATTTTTTCTACTTACATATGTAATTGAAATGTTTCATAATAAAAAGTTAAAAATAAATAAAAACCATAAAAAGTTAAAAAGAAAACAAAAATTTGCCCAGCTCTTGCAGAGACTGCAAGGCAAGAAAATCTAAGAATCTCTTAGCCCTTCAGAATAAAGTCAGCTTCACGACTGTGAAGTCACATTCTCAAAATGGATAGTCTGATTGAGATTAAGAGATTCTCTGCATTCTCATTCCTTCTTGTCATAGACTAACGAAATACTTCACTGTAATCTAAAATATATCAGATCATGACATTTCTCTGCTCAAGTCTATCTGTAGCTCCCCAGTACTTTATATGTACCCAGAAAAACAGCTGATGCCCTTGTAATAGCCTACAGAACTCTCCCTACTTGATATCCCCTCAGTGGTAGCCAGCCCCCAAGATGGCCCCCCAAAATGATCCCCACCTCCTGGTATTTGTTATTCTCTTCCAAGACTGGTCTATGTGATCAGTAAAATAAAGAAAAGGTGATGACATGTTACTTCTGAGATTCGGTTATAGACACTGTGGCTTCCATCTTGGTTTCTTTCTTCCTCCTCGGATCACTTGCTCTGGGGGAAACCAGCTGTCATGTTATCAGCAGTGTCATACAGAGGCCACATAGCAAGAATTCCGGCGAACTGAATTCTCCTGCCAACCGCTCTGTCAGTGTGCATGGAGGCTGATCTTCCAGCTTCAGTCAAGCCACTTTTTTTAAAGGGTTGGATGGTAAATAGTTCGAGCTTTGCAGGCCATGTGGTTTATATTGCAACTACTCAACTTTTCCATCATACACAACATGAAAATTAACGTGTTCCCAGAAAATCTTATTTACAAAAACAGGCAGTAGTTTGGTAACTCTCCCATGACTTCAGTGCAGGCTCACAGCTTGATTGCCACCTCATGAAACCCTGAACCAGAGCTATGCAGATAAGCTGCTCCAATTCCTGAGCCTCAGGAAATGTGAGATATATTTCTTTCAAGTTGCTACACTTTAGTGTAATCGATAACTCATATACCATCATCCCACTCTCCACACCCCATGTATACCTCTTTTTACTTCTCTAATCTCTACTCTCCACCATTCATTCAGCTCAGGTCATAGAGGCCTCCTTGTTGTTCCTTGATTATACCAGGGGTGCTCGTGCCTTCGGGCCTTTGCACTTGCTATTTTTTATGCCTGAAGTACTTCTCCCCAAGACATCTACTTGGTTAGATTCAGTATCTCCTTTAGGTCTTTACTCAAATGAGCCTTTCTCAGTAAAGTGAGGAGGGGAATAGTGAGGATGTTCCCTCATCCTACTTATAAATGTAACACACCTTCCTTCCTACATTCCCTATTTCCTTTATTTTTCTTCATAGCATTTACCACCATGTAACATACACTTTATTTATTTTATTGTCTGTCTTCCTCCGCTGGATTGTAATCTTCATGAAGGCAGGAGTTTCCATTTTGTTTACTTCAGTATCCAAAACAGTACCTGGCCTGCAGTAGCCCTCAATAAATTTTATTATTTAACAAACCTCCCAACACCTTAAAGGCATGAATATCTTACTTGACATAATATACCCAGTCCCTGGCACATAATAAATATTAAATGCTAAATTAGCTTTCAAGAATTTTAAACATGTGAATATCAGATGTGTTTTTGAAAGATCACTCTAGGAAAAGAATGGAGGAAGCAATTGGTGTTTGTCAATACTTGATTCTCATTTGCTCTCTTTCAGAATATTCAGCCCTTCAGAATAAAGTCAGCTTCACGACTGTGAAGTCACATTCTCAAAATGCATAGTCTGATTAAGAGATTCTCTGCATTCTCATTCCTTCTTGTCATAGACTAACGAAATACTTCACTGTAATCTAAACTAGATCAGATCATGACATTTCTGTCAGGCAATTTCACCCATCCTCACTGTTCATTACTTCCTAAATGCAATTTAACCTTAAAATTTGCATTGTCCCTGTCCGATTTCCCAAAGCTACCCTCTTTCTCAACTTTGGGTTGCATAACTTACTGTGTGACTTTGGACGAATTACTTAACTCTATGTTCCTCAGTTTCCCTAGCTGCCAATGTGGATATTAATACTTATCTCAAAAGAATGTTATGATGATAAATGATTCAATTCATGTAAAATACTGAGAACAGGTCTGGTGCGGTGGCTCACACCTGTAATCCCAGCACTTTGGGAGGCCGAGACAGGTGGATCACTTGAGGTCAGGATTTCAAGACCAGCCTAGCCAACATGGTGAAATCTCATCTCTACTAAAAAAAATACAAAAGTTAGCTGGGCGTGGGATAGGCACCTGTAATCCCAGCTACTCGGGAGACTGAGGCAGGATTATCACTTGAGCCTAGGAGGTGGAGGTTGCAGTGAGCCATGATCATGCCACTGAACTCCAGCCTGGGCAACGAAGTGAGACTCCATCTCAAAAAACAAAACAACAACAAATCCATTCTCCACAATACAGTCTGATCTTTTTCAAAATGCATATCTCATCAGGTCACGTTACTTTCATTACAAGCTCCCATTGCCCTCAAGATGAAAACATGGACTTCAGTCCTGCATTGGCTAGCTTCTACTTTTCCAGATTATCCTCATGATCACATCTATTCCAGAATGTACTCTGGCCAACCAGACTCCCAATGCCCTGAGAACTTCAGAAGTGCTCCTCCCTCTGTCTGGAATGCCCTACTTTCCCCTTCCCAGATACTGCCTACCTTCCCTGTTCTATAAAGTGCTCACAAACTTCATTTGCCTTCCCAGATGAAATTCCTTTTATTAAGCCCTCCCTTTTGTAGCAGTAAATTTGTTCACATGTGATTTGATCAGTTTCCGTCATAATACTAACACAGCAGAGCAGGCTGGGTGTTTTTACTCATCACATACATCCTCAATGCTCTGCAGCGGTGCACAGTAGTAGGTACCTGGTTAACTATTTGTGAAAAACATGAAAAATGGGAACAATGGGGCAGAGCCAAGTTAGGAAGTTCAGTCATCCAAGAATCAAGGAGTTGCTGCACTGAGGTATTGCACGATGATGGGGGCACTTAAATTTTTAGGAAAACGAATTAAAACATTGAATTAAACAATAATTTCAAGCAATTCCCAAACCAATTAATGCATAGATTAGGTTGTAACTGTCCAGATATGTTTGGCGACACAATTCTATTAGCATCAAGACTCATCTAAGTACCTGAAGTAGTGGCACCACCATCAGGCTCAGCAGTACAAAAAGGCACATCATTCTTGTCCTCCCTAATCTCCTGCAGTATGGATTTTGCCAAACCATTTCGATTAGAGCTTTCAAAGGCCAGTTTATTCGGGAGAAAGGGTCCATCCACTTGTAAGTTTCAATAGACAACCAACACGCCGGTGTTGGGGTAGGGGCTTTTGAGAAAGAGATGAGGATGCTCTGAGACAAGATTCCAACCGAGTGAACTAATTTTTTCAGACAAGGACCACAGTAGATTCTGTAGCTGAGTTGAGATTTGGTTTTGAGTTTCTGGTGCCTACAAAGCAGGTGGTTAGGGCTTTCTAATAAGCAGTTTAACATTGGTTTACAGCAGGCCTCACACCCAGAGTCTTTGGGCTAACTATAAGAGCAAACTACAGAGCAACTTATATGTAAGAACTGTTCTAAGCACTTGAGATTACATTTACAAGCTATTAAAAACAGTATTTGAGACTGTCAAGACAATCATATACATTTTATACAGCTATATAAAAAATTGTTCTACAGTAAGATTTCCTGGCCGGGCATGGTGGTTCACAGCTATAATCAGCACTTTGGGAAGCCGAGGTGGGTAGATCACTTGAGGTCAGGAGTTTGAAACCAGCCTGGCCAACATGGCCAAACCCTACTCTACTAAAAGTACAAAAAATTAGCCGGGCATGGTGGCTCACACCTGTAATTCCAGCTATTTAGGAAGCTGAGTCACTGCACTCCAGCCTGGGTGACAGAACGAGAGTGTCTAAAAAAAAGATTTCCTATATAACGCTACTTTTACCTGAGTACATAAAAGATTTTGGAAATCGTGGGAAAAAATTATACCAGCTATAAGCTATTTAAATACTGTTGATAGTTATCAGAGGGAAATCAAAATCATATAAACAGCATACTCAAAAAAATGAGACAAAAGTTCAAGAGTATAATATTTTTTATTCACTGATAAACTAAAAGCCAATTTCTTGGTATTTCTCATGTATACTTCATTTATTTTATTAATAAGCAAAGCCCTGTAAGGGGAGCCTTTGCCTAGTCCTCCGACTCTGATTCATCTTCATCTTGACTAATCTGGAAGTAACGAAGTTCGTAGGTCTCCTTGTCAGATGCAACCACTCGAAGCCAATCACGAAGATTGTTCTTCTTAAGGTATTTCTTGGTAAGGTATTTCAAATACCTTTTAAAATAAAAACATAAATTTCATTAAGAAATACAATTCCTACTATGTAAAGGTTTACTATACGAAAAATATACATCATCATATTCATCTTTTCTGTACCTAGCTTCCTCCAAAATATTTCATCCTTCCATTCACAGGATGTATTGTGTAAGACTGTTAGGGTAGCATCCTCTTGTCATACTGCCACACTATATATTGTTCAAGATTGTTAGGGTAGCATTCTCTTGTCAAACTGCTACAGCCAAATTATTTAAGCAATATGATTTCACTCTTCAAATATATTATCTGTGTATATATATGTGAAAACGTTAACACCTCCTTCACCACTATCAAGCCCCCTAGCTCCCAATCCCACCCCGGCTCAACAGGCAACCTATTAATAATAGGGTTAAACCCATACTATGCTCATTAAGTCTCAACTTCTCTGAAAATTCTTGGGCTCTCTCTACATCTAATGTAACTAGAGTTGTATTTTACAATAATTATCTGATTATCTGTAAGATACTTGATTTACAGCTACTACAGCTACTACATTTTTATCTCTGAATCCTTAGTGATTATAATCTCAGTTAACATGTACTGCAACCACTTTAGTCCAAGCCATCATTGTCTCTCACTGAAATTAGCTCTTACATCTTCAGTTTCCACCAGATGTATCACCCTAGTCTTTTTCAGCCACAATAAACAATTGCTTCCCATTACACATCCCATGGCTTTCAAGATCTGCTCCCCAGACACCCTCCAATCTCATGCATTCCTCCCAGAACACTATACCCCAGACACACTGGCTTTGTTACTATTACTTTAATCTGCCAGGCTTCTGGTTCATCCTGCCTGTAACAACTGCAAGGCTCACTTCTGCATTTCATTTCCTGACCAACTTACCAACGTACCCAAAAACTCTGCAACTAGTTTTATGCCCTTACAGCACTTATCACTGCTTGATTAATTCCATTTCACTCTCTCTTCTCCACTAGAAGTTTCTTGGTGGTGGGTAAACTGCCTGCTTGGTTCACTGTTGGGTTACCCAGTCCTGTGCTGCCCATGTAGTATTTAATATTTGGTGAATAAATTCAACAAATAAAAACTGGCAGCAAGATGTTAAGACTTTGACTTTAACTGGCTACCTCTACTGAATAAATAACTTGAGACAATTCTCCTATGTACACATCAGACATGTTTCTTGCAACATACTCAAATACTAAAGTACTCAGCATTAAAGGTTATATACAATTTGGATTTACAGGGCCTATAATTTACTGGACTGGGACTGTGGACACAACTGGCTCATATTCTAGCAATAAATGACACTTACAACTAGACTCAGCAATTGGCACTCATTTACTGAATTTCCCATTTATGTAGGCCTTTAGTCTAAAGTTCATATTTATTCTTGCATATAAACAGAATACATGTAATAACTACATATTCTATGAAATATTCCAAAACTACTATAGTTTTATTAAAATTTGCAAAAGTACCAACCTTTTAGAGAACTGTTTCTCAGAAACAACTGTGATTTTATTCTTGAAGCGTTCAATGTGAACAACATTCCCGAGATTTCCAGTTTTGCCATTGACTTTAACCTTCTCCCGTAGAAATTGCTCCTATTTTAAAACAGAAAAAATGCAAAACTAGGGAAGAGAACCCTAGATATTCACTAGGGAAGGTACCCTAGGAATAGAGCTTAGGTTATTATCAAATACTATATATTTAAACCATTATCAATAACTCTGATTACAAAAATAAGCCGAGTAGAATGATACTTACAAAATTTCCAGAATCAAAAATTCCATCTTCTACTGGATGAGTAAGGTCCAAATTAAACCTCCAGGTTGACCTCTTGGGCTTCCTGTCTTTCTGCTACATAAATGAGAAATAATTATGTAGCTATATAAAACAACTTATTCAATTTATATAAACAATTTTAAAGTTTGTACCAATGCAATCTGTACAATGTACTGTTAGGTTACATATACAGAAATGTAACAATAAATAAAAAAACACCACCACTACCCACGCCGGGGTTGATTTGAACCTCTAACCAAGTCCTAATATGTTCAAGTTGTCAAAAAGTTACGGACTTTCATTGTTTTCTATACTACCAATGATCAATTTTAAATTATCGTGCTTTTCTGCCACCCCACTGCAGATGGGAATAGGTTAGTATACTGCCTAGCCCAAGCTCAGGTAAGTGCCAGAGCTAGGATTCCACCCACCTATGTCTAGAAAATTCAATTCTTACGTTATTATAGGCAAGGGAAGGGGACTTTGGTAAAAAAAAAAAAAAAGAAAAGAAAAGAAAAAGAAAAAATAAAAATAAAAAAGGCAAGGTGCCGTCCCAGCACTTTGGGAGGCTGAGGCAGGAGGATCACGTGAGGTCAGGAGTTCAAGGCCAGCCTGGCCAACATGGTGAAACCCCATCTCTAGTAAAAATACAAAAATTAGCCAGGTGTGGTGGTGCATGCTTATAATCCTAGCTATTCAGGAGGCTGAGTCGGGAGGATTGCTTGAACCCGGGAGGCGGAGGTTGTAGTGAGCCTGATCATGCCACTATACTCCCACCTGGGCAACAGACTCTGTCTCAAAAAAAAAAAAAAACCTAAAAACCAACACCGTGGAACTTAAATTTTCCATATCCAAACCTTTTATACCAAGACCATATAATATGGCTACATAAGCAAAATGTTACTGTGGCCAGCAACCATGTACATTCACTGCAATATGAACAAACAAATCTGTATTTATCAGACTATAACCTCCAATTTAGATTCACCCAAGTGGCTACCAAGTATTACACATTAGTTTGCTTTCTCAGGTAGCATGGTAACATGTGCCAAAAGATAATTACCCAGTTGGCGCAGAAGTTAATTTGGGAGACACAAACAACTTCTGTCTAATGGAACAGATAACCCTATAGGGTTTATGGCCATGCTGGGCATTACCCAGTTTTGTAGCTAGCCCAGCAATTTTATCCTAACTTTATTTGTAAATTGCGCATGTATATCTAGCTTTTCAGATATTCTTAGGAACATTTTAACATCTTACTGGTTCCCTTACTAATGACTTAAGTAAAACATCTGAAGCACGTTTATTTCACATTGCTGGAATCTAGACTTATACTTTTCTAAAAATTACTTCACCGAGAAACTTCTTCCCCAACTGAAAGTTCTCAAAAACTTGTGATGTCGGCCATCGCGGGAGCTGAGCGCCTAGGAGCTCCCTCTGGCCTGGCAAAGGTCGTCAGACCGGCCCGATTACCCACCATTCCCCTACCCAGTGCTGAGTGGCAAAAGCATTATCAGGCGCGAGATAGTAAAGAAATGGCTCAGATTGCAGTACCACCGGCCCATTTACAGTTGTGCCTCCCTCTTTCCCGCGTGTCCAAAACCACCCATCCTAAACCAATTCCGGGCCCAGCTCCAACTCCACTAGACCTCATGGCAGCTGCCAGGGAGTCTCGAAAAACAGTTCAGGATCCTCGCGTCTTGGTTGTGTTTCTGACCCAGACTTCACTACTCCCCTCCCTTTATCTTGACTGAGACGTCTCCACTCGACAGATGCAAAAATCGTTACAGCGGAAATCATTAAATTGCCACACAACACTCCCACCAAGACATCGCTCACTCACCGGCGCCATCTTGCGAGTCGGCCGCGAGAGCAGAGAGGAAGCTACGGCCGCGCGGTCTGCATTTATATCAAAGCGTGCTGCGTCACGCGCTGAGAGCGTCAGATTGTCGCCTCCCGGAAAAGAAAGCGGGAGGAGCGCTGAGGCCGGTAACCCAGGAAACCAGTGCGCTGCCGGACGAGAGTAGGCCATCGGCTTTCCGCGGGCACACGCGGGTGGCTGTGGTTGAACTGACTCTCGGGTTTCCGCTCCTGGCTGTTCAAGCCGATTAATTGCAGTGGCCTCTACAGTTACCTAGTGGCTGCTCCCGGATACGGACGCACGCGAGGGATGCAGGAGTCATCTTTCACTAATCACCGGAATCCCCTTTCCAATCAGGGCAAGGCAGTGTCTCAGGTTGCTTTGGGATCTCCTTTTATTGCAGTTATAATCCTCCAGCGAAAAAGTTATTTGTTTGTGTTTTGTCTGTGAGCCTCGTTTTCTAAATGACTGTTGAGGGAAATTGGTGCTTCGGGGACCAGGTCCTCGGGAAAAAAAAATCATGTATATATATGCTTACACGCCCACGCCTGTAATCCCAGCACTTTGGGAGGCCGAGGCCGGAGAATCTCTTGAGCCCAGGAGTTCGAGACCACCCTTGGCAGCGTAGGCATAGGGAGAACCCGTCTCTACAAACAATTTTAAAAAAAATGGCCCGCGTGGTGGTGCGCGTCTGTACTCCCAGCCACTCGGGAGGCTGAGGCAGGAGCATCGCTTTACCTTGAGAGGCGGAAGTTGCAGTGAGTCGAGATCGAGCCACTGCACTCCAGCCTGGGTAACAGTGAGACTGTCTCAAAGGGAAAAACACGTAGTGCTTGCTTCTTGTTCATTCGTTTGGTATAATTTATCATGGGTTTTACAGTTAATCCCAGGTCTCTTGATTTCCATCCAAAATGCTCCCAGTTAAAATTCAATGAATGTTTGCTGTGACCTATCAGTATGTACAAGACACACGAGGGTGGAAGTGTCTTGCTGACAAAAGGAAAAAGTAGCTTTTGAGCTTTGAAGGATTGTAAATTGACATCAGATCCGAAAAGTGGCATGCTGAACCGCTTGGGTTTAGCAGTAATATGTTTTCGTGGAGATGAAATTATCATACCTAGGGGTAGGGGTAAGGGATGGGGTGGACTTTGTTGTTAATTTGAAGAATGACCCCAGAAAGTAAGAACTGTTCGTGGCCTTTATGCCAGCAAGTAGTTATCGTGGAAACTATGCTTTAATAGAGCATATGACTTGTAGAGTCTGAAGAGAGGCCCTGAATTCCTAGAAGAAATCCATTTCAACAAGATTTTTTAGTTGTCTGCCTTAAGAGCTACAATAATCACATTTCTCTTTCCAAACATTAAAGGGAGCAATTGGCATTTCCTCCTCAAGGGCTGCCTAAGCTGAGGGGCAGAAATGATTCTATTTTGCTTGTCTTTAGCAGTCTTCCATGTCTTGACAATAAACTCCTTAAGCACTATTAAGCCATTTGTACAAGGAGGATATGGAAACATACCTGTTTCACAAGAACTAGTAATCACCAAATAACTAGTTAGAAACTGTAATGGGGGAAAAATGTTTGTCAATTAGAAAAAAAAACAAGAATATTAGCGAGAAATGTGCAGATGGGAAGACTAAAAGTTGTAAATAATTCAGTTCTTCCCAAACTGTGCGTGTGCACACGTATATAGTAACACAATGCTAGTCAATACCCTATAGTTATTTTTTAAAAATTTGACAGCTAATTAAAAAAATTTTAACATTTATTTTAGATTCAGAGGGTACATGTACAGTTTTGTTACATGAATATATATAATGATGGTGGGGTTGGGGTGCGATTGATCCCTTCACCCAGGTAGTGAAAATAGTACCCAATAATTAGATTTTCAACCCTTCCCCACTTCTAGTATTCCCAGTGTCTATTTTTGCCATCTTCATGCCCATGAGTATCCAATGTTTAGTTCCCACTTACAAGTGAGAAGTACAGTATTTGATTTTCTGTTCCTGCATTAATTCGCCTAGGATAATGGCCTCCAGCTGCAGCCATGTTGCTGCAAAGTATGTGATTTTGTTCTTTATGGCTTGTGTTGACAGCTAATTCTAAAACGTATGACACAATAAATGTCTGAAAAGAGCCAAGACACTCTAGACCAATGAAAGGGAGTATGCCTTTCCAGCTCTTCCAATATAAGATATAATAGATGATAGATATGTATTTAATATATTATAAACTTCAGTCATTGGATCTACATGATGCTGAAGCCTTAGTAAACAGATCAGTAAGCAAAAAAACACAGAAAAACCCCTCCATATGTAACTACCTTACCAATGGCTAAAATATAGTTTTATTTTTATGTATGCATTTATTTATTTTTTAGAGACATAGTCTTGCTCTGTCGCCTAGGCTGGAGTGCAGTGGCGCAATCTCAGCTCACTGCAACCTCCGCCTCCCTGGTTCAAGCAATTCTCCTGCTTCAGCCTCCCAAGTAGCTGGGATTACAGGCGCTTACCACCAGGTATGGCTAATTTTTCTATTTTTACTAGGGTTTTCGCCATGTTGACCAGACTGGTTTCGAACTCTTGGCCTCAACTGATCCGCCCACCTTGGCCTCCCAAAGTGCTGGGGTTACAGGTGTGAGCCATTGTGCCCGGCCTAAAATACAGTTTTATAAATAATTTTTTAATGTATGGTTGAGCTGGTGGAAAAGTAAAATAATTTTTAGGGGCAGAAATGACAAGCAATGATCATACATGTTTGGAACTTGAATTAGCTCTGCTCAGATAGCATGAAAAAGCTCCAAACTGAATATGTAGTTTAAAGTGTGCTTGTATTATTAACACCAGACAGAAGCAAGGGCAAATACTCTCTGGAGAAATGCATTTTAGATCCAGGTACAAATAATTCCCTGAGATAAGCTTCAAGAAATATGAGCTGACAGGTTTTGTTTTGTTTTGTTGAGATGGAGTCTTGTTCTGTCGCCAGGCTGGAGTGCAGTGGCAAGATCTCAGCTCACTGCAACTTCTGCCTCCAGGGTTCAAGTGATTCTCCTGCCTCAGCCTCTCGAGTAGCTGGGACGACAGGCGCACCACCATGCCAGCTAATTTTTGTATTTTTAGTAGAGACGGGGTTTCACCATGTTGGCCAGGATGGTCTCGATCTCTTGACCTCGTGATCTGCCCGCCTTGGCTTCCCAAAGTGCTGGGATTACAGGTGTGAGCCACCGTGCCCGGCAGAGCTGACAGTTTTTTAAAATCATGAAAATACAGGAAAACAAGCCACCGTGGATGAAAATCAACATCAAAAACCTATGAAATCAGACTCACAGAGACTTTATATGTTGGAATTATGAAATGCAGAATATAAAATAAGTATTTGTAGTATATGCAAAAACTAAAAGTATTTAGGATATGATAAGGAAGTCAGAGACAATCAAAATTGATCAGATTTTTTTTTTTTTTTTGAAAAACAGCAAAAGGAGACCGGGCACGGTGGCTCAAGCCTGTAATCCCAGCAGTTTGGGAGGCTGAGGTAGGCAGATCACTTGAGGTTAGGAGTTCGAGACCACCCTGGCCAACATAGAGAAACCCCCGTCTCTACTAAAAATACAAAAATTAGCTGGGTGTGGTGGTGATGCCTGTAGTCTCAACTACTTGGGAAGCTGAGGCAGGGGAATCACTTGAACTGGGGAGGTGGAGGTTGCAGTGAGCTGAGATCATGCCATTACACTCCAGCCTGGGCAACAGAGCAAGACTCCGTCTCAAAAAAAAAAAAAACAAAAAAACAAAAGAGAACATTTAGACATTAAAAAGAGAAAAACTGAAATTAGAAAAAGTAGATGAGTTAAACAAGAGAGTAAACAGCTGAAGAGAAATCAGTGAGTGGGAAATTACTTAGAATGCAATGTGGAAAAGCAAATAGATGTAAGGTATAAAAAACAGGTTAAGAGACCAGGATGTCAGAATAAAAGTTTTCTGGATATGTCAACCAGGAGATCCAGAAGGATGTAATAGAGACAATGGGGAAATGGCAAAATCTAGAGAGATAATGGCTGAATTTCCAGATACAGGAATCCCCAAGAGGGATAATTTTAAAGAAATGCACACCTATATACATTGTAGTGAAACTTCAAAACACAAAGTCATTTCAAAAGCACCCAGAGAAGGAAAAGACAAAATATTTACTAAATGACTTATACTAATAGCTGACTTTCCATCTGCAACAATGGAAGCCGGAGGCAAAGGAATATTATCTGCAGAGCACTGTGAGAAAATAACTGTCTACCTAGAGCTACAAAAAACAAAACAAAACCAAGAATACATTTCAAGAGTAAAGATGCATTTATGACATTTTTAGGCCACAAAGCTGAAAGTTTGCCATCAAGAGCTCTTCAGTAAAGGAATTCTGAAAGATATACTTTAGGAAGAAGGAAAATGACCCTAGAAAGAAGGCTTATATGTCAAAAGAAATGGTGAGCAAAGAAAATAGCAAACTTGTGAGTAAATCTAAACAACTACTAACTGTAGACAATAGTAATAATTATGTCTAATTTGTGGGTTCACAGAACTTTTTTAAAAAACTCAATATCATAGGCAGATTATGTACTGTTAATGTTGTATTTCTTCATCTTGGTGATATTTACATGGGTATGTTTACTTTGTGAAGACTCATCAAGCTGTAAATTATAATCTGTTCATTTTTTCTGTATATATGTTATAATTCAATTAATAGTAATAAGATAGTATAAACTACCACTTGCCAATATATGGCAAATTAGATAAAATGAGCAAATTCCTAGAAAAATACAGTTTATCAGAATGTACACAAGAAGAAATAGAATATCTGAATAGTCCTATATCTTTTAAATAAATTGCATTTGTAATTAAAACCTTCCCACAAAAAAACCATAGGCAGATTATATACTGTTCATGTTTTAGCAGTGAATTCTACCAAACAATTGAGGAAGAAACAATGCCAGTTGTAACAATTTTATGCCAAAACTCACATTCTGCCAGTTTACCTTTTAATTCAGGGCAGGGGAGAATTTATCTACAGCTTCCTGTCCCCTGCTGATAAATGTTTGTCTTTGGCTTGTTAACTCCCTTGCATTTTCAGGTTGTAAATATATAAGTGGGTATCTGTAGGGAGGTTCCCACAGGTGTCCCATGCTTCATGTCAGAGAAGCCATGGGGTAGAAGGTGAAATATATGCGGGGAGGTGCTGTCAAGTTACGCCTGCATGAAACTGGTTGCTGCTCCTTTCTTTCTTTTGATTGGACGGTTTAGTGCATTCTATATTACTACATGAGAGATTCCAGAAGAATTAAGCCTCGGTTGTCCCCAGCACATTTCTGTTTGCTTTTGTTCTTTCCAAGTTTCATTTTTCCTGGTTTCTTCTGTTACCTGAGATCACTTCCTAAATAAATCAACTACATGCAGCCAATAGGCTAAGAAACCAATTTACAAACTCTCTGGGCATATTAGAGACATTCATCAACTTTTTAATGAGGCCAGCATAACTTTGATATTAAAACCTGACAAGGACATTTTGAGAAAGGAAAATTATACCCCAGTCTCATTCATGAATATATATATATATATTCTATATATATGTGTATATATACAACATACTATAGTCACAGATAAATATTTAGCAAACCATATCTAACAATATATCATTAGATTATTTACAATCATTCATAAATATATCCATAATGTAAGTATCTGTGTATTTTGAACTATGAAAAAATGCTGTGACATTTAGGCAAATAGTACTCTAAACAGAATTCTCTGTTGTGGTCCTTTTATATGTCATACATCTTGTCTTTCTGCAGCTCTGTATCTGTCCTGGGTTTGTGCATCACACAAGGTTTCTTACAGGAGCAGATGGTTCACCTTATTCTGTAGTGTTGTCTTTTGGAAGACCTCAGCTCTGCTAACAGCACAAAGGATCACACTGTAATGTAGAAAGTAGACAATGTGTGCATCTCTGAAATATACTTGTTATTAAAACTCATCTGTTTTCTTTTTCATTTTCTTTTTTTCTTTTTTTTTTCTTTTTTTTTTTTTTTTTTTGAGATGGAGTGTCACTCTGTCACCCAGGGTAGAGTGCAGTGGTGCAATCTCGGCTCACTGCAACTTCCGTCTCCCGGGTTCAAGCGATTCTCCTGCCTCAGCCTCCTGAGTACCTGGGATTACAGGTGTGTGCCACCATGCCCGGCTAATTTTTGTATTTTTAGTAGAGACGAAGTTTCACCATGTTGGTCAGGCTGGTCTCGAACTCCTGACTTCGTGATCCACCCGCCTCGGCCTCCCAAAGAGCTCATCTATTTTCTAGAAGCTGATTTGGAAAAAAAAAAAAAAAGAGAAGTCTCTAAATTACCCTTTACCCAAACTTCCAGTCATCAAAGTTACCACTGTTTAAGTATTGTAAAAAAATATATATAGATTTTATATGTGTAGCAAACAGCATTCTATTTCTTTCTGTGCCATGTGCTACAAAGTGGAGCGTGTTGAGCATCATGAGGCATTGCACTACCATTTCCGGGAAAATATACTTTAATGACATTGAAGTGCAAACAGTCTCATGGAAGCAAACTGTGCAGCTTTGGCTAAGAATGGGCTGAAGCCCTGTGCAAACAACAATGAGATACTGAGGACAATCTTAAAAGTACTGAAGAATATTGCTTTTAAAATCCCAAACCTATGTATAGTTCTTTGTTATATACTCATTAATGAAAGCTAAGGGGACCAGGGAAGGGAAATAGGGACTTAAGTTACTGCTGCTTGCCTTTTCTTTACTAATTAGATTCAAGAGCATTAAAAACTATGATTAAAACGTGTACGCTTGCTTCATTGCATCTTTTGTCTCAATGTGTATTTAGGAAAACCTAAGTTATTTGTTTTTATTATTTTTAACAAATTGCAGTTTCATCCAAGTAATATTTTCTTGTTGTATAGTGCCACAGGAATTCTGAACATTGATCAGTCTTTAAAATGAAAACAAGTATCTTTTTTCATTGCTTCATTTTATTTCTTGTTATTTTCAGCATATTGGATGGATATTTAGATTATCCCATTTTTTCACTATTATAAACAATGTTTTGAGGAATTTTTTTTTTTTTTTTGAGACGGAGTCTCGCTTTGTTGCCCAGGCTGGAGTGCAGTGGCTCAATCTCGGCTCACTGCAAGCTCTGCCTCCCAGGTTCATGCCATTCTCCTGCCTCAGCCTCCCAAGTGGCCGGGACTACAGGCATGCACCACCATGCCCAGCTAATTTTTGTATTTTTTAGTAGAGACGGGGTGTCACCATGTTGGCCAGGCTGGTCTTGAACTCCTGATGACCTCAAGTGATCTGCCTGCCTCGGCCTCCCAAAGTGTTGGGGTGTGAGCCATTGCGCCCAGCCAGAACTTTCTTAATTAACAAAATTATCTTATGTGAAAAGAAATGTTCATGCAAGAAAATATAGAGAAACCAAAAATATAATGCATAAAAATATGTAAAACCCCACTTGCTCAGAAATAGCTATTAAATGCTTTGGAGATGTGCATGTCTGTAAACATGTCTGTGTGCATCTGTCTATCTACTTACATCTATCTATCTATCTATCTCCTTTAGATGACATAAATTTATAAAGATTGGATGGTACTATATATACTTTTTGAGTTCAAAAAATTTTATTTAGAAGTAATTTAAACGTTATAAAAGATTGTAAAAACAGTTCAAAGCACACACACACACACACCCTCCCTTTATCCAGATTTTTACTTATTTTGTCCCACTTATTTGTTCTCTGTCTCACCAACACATATACCTCTTTTATTGTTTCTGGACTTCCAACCAGTTTTGTTAAAGCCAGGTTACAGAGGAAGTCACTCATGTTTTCTTCTAGGACTTGTATAGTTTTATTGCTTTCATTTAGATCTCTGCTTCATTTGTAGTTTATTCATATGTATGTTGTATGGAATTCATCTTATTTTTCTAGTTGTCCTAAAACAATTAATGTATGTCAATCTTTTTTTTTTTTGTTATAAAACTTATGGTTTTATTTTGCAGCAACCAAATATTCCTTATATAAGCAACAGATAAACAGAGTACTTTAAAATATTTGTTTACAATAAAATTGGGCTTCCCTTCATATGTTAAATACAACTTATGTGCCAGAAAAGTGTGAAAGGAAAATAGAATCTTGGGACCCCAAACTCACTATGCCAAAGGAGAAGTTAAGCTTGGGAACTGAGTCATGCAAAAACTGCCTTCCTTCTGTCCCCAGACAGATAGCTGTAATTTCACATATTTACTTTCTCTTATGTAAAATATAGATTTATTGAGCATGAGAGGAATGCATAATTGACTTATTGTTCTACTCCCTTTCT
This sequence comes from Homo sapiens, assembly GCF_000001405.40. Taxonomy (NCBI): domain Eukaryota; kingdom Metazoa; phylum Chordata; class Mammalia; order Primates; family Hominidae; genus Homo; species Homo sapiens. The sequence goes on from NC_000003.12 coordinate 170,878,550, forward strand.
TTCTTCCTTTTTTTTTTTAGTTATACTTTTAAGTTTTAGGGTACATGTGCACATTGTGCAGGTTAGTTACATATGTATACATGTGCCATGCTGGTGCGCTGCACCCACTAACTCGTCATCTAGCATTAGGTATATCTCCTGATGCTATCCCTCCCCCCTCCCCCCACCCCACAACAGTCTCCAGAGTGTGATATTCCCCTTCCTGTGTCCATGTGATCTCATTGTTCAATTCCCGCCTATGAGTGAGAATATGCGGTGTTTGGTTTTTTGTTCTTGCGATAGTTTACTGAGAATGATGATTTCCAATTTCATCCATGTCCCCACAGAGGACATGAACTCATCCTTTTTTATGGCTGCATAGTATTCCATGGTGTATATGTGCCACATTTTCTTAATCCAGTCTATCATTGTTGGACATTTGGGTTGGTTCCAAGTCTTTGCTATTGTGAATAATGCCGCAATAAACATACGTGTGCATGTGTCTTTATAGCAGCATGATTTATAATCCTTTGGGTATATACCCAGTAATGGGATGGCTGGGTCAAATGGTATTTCCAGTTCTAGATCCCTGAGGAATCGCCACACTGACTTCCACAATGGTTGAACTAGTTTACAGTCCCACCAACAGTGTAAAAGTGTTCCTATTTCTCCACATCCTCTCCAGCACCTGTTGTTTCCTGACTTTTTAATGATTGCCATTCTAAGTGGTGTGAGATGGTATCTCATTGTGGTTTTGATTTGCATTTCTCTGATGGCCAGTGATGATGAGCATTTTTTCATGTGTTTTTTGGCTGCATAAATGTCTTCTTTTGAGAAGTGTCTGTTCATGTCCTTCGCCCACTTTTTGATGGGGTTGTTTGTTTTTTTCTTGTAAATTTGTTTGAGTTCATTGTAGATTCTGGATATTAGCCCTTTGTCAGATGAGTAGGTTGCGAAAATTTTCTCCCATTTTGTAGGTTGCCTGTTTACTCTGATGGTAGTTTCTTTTGCTGTGCAGAAGCTCTTGAGTTTAATTAGATCCCATTTGTCAATTTTGTCTTTTGTTGCCATTGCTTTTGGTGTTTTAGACATGAAGTCGTTGCCCATGCCTATGTCCTGAATGGTAATGCCAAGGTTTTCTTCTAGGGTTTTTATGGTTTTAGGTCTAACGTTTAAGTCTTTAATCCATCTTGAATTGATTTTTGTATAAGGTGTAAGGAAGGGATCCAGTTTCAGCTTTCTACATATGGCTAGCCAGTTTTCCCAGCACCATTTATTAAATAGGGAATCCTTTCCCCATTGCTTGTTTTTGTCAGGTTTGTCAAAGATCAGATAGTTGTAGATATGCGGCGTTATTTCTGAGGGCTCTGTTCTGTTCCATTGATCTATATCTCTGTTTTGGTACCAGTACCATGCTGTTTTGGTTACTGTAGCCTTGTAGTATAGTTTGAAGTCAGGTAGCATGATGCCTCCAGCTTTGTTCTTTTGGCTTAGGATTGACTTGGCGATGTGGGCTCTTTTTTGGTTCCATATGAACTTTAAAATAGTTTTTTCCAATTCTGTGAAAAAAGTCATTGGTAGCTTGATGGGGATGGCATTGAATCTGTAAATTACCTTAGGCAGTATGGCCATTTTCATGATATTGATTCTTCCTACCCATGAGCATGGAGTGTTCTTCCATTTGTTTGTATCCTCTTTTATTTCCTTGAGCAGTGGTTTGTAGTTCTCCCTGAAGAGGTCCTTCACATCCCTTGTAAGTTGGATTCCTAGGTATTTTATTCTCTTTGAAGCAATTGTGAATGGGACTTCACTCATGATTTGGCTCTCTGTTTGTCTGTTGGTGGTGTATAAGAATGCTTGTGATTTTTGTACATTGATTTTGTATCCTGAGACTTTGCTGAAGTTGCTTATCAGCTTAAGGAGATTTTGGGCTGAGACAATGGAGTTTTCTAGATATACAATCATGTCGTCTGCAAACAGGGACAATTTGACTTCCTCTTTTCCTAATTGAATACCCTTTATTTCCTTCTCCTGCCTAATTGCCCTGGCCAGAACTTCCAACACTATGTTGAATAGGAGTGGTGAGAGAGGGCATCCCTGTCTTGTGCCAGTTTTCAAAGGGAATGCTTCCAGTTTTTGCCCATTCAATATGATATTGGCTGTGGGTTTGTCATAGATAGCTCTTATTATTTTGAAATACGTCCCATCAATACCTAATTTATTGAGAGTTTTTAGCATGAAGGGTTGTTGAATTTTGTCAAAGGCTTTTTCTGCATCTATTGAGATAATCATGTGGTTTTTTGTCTTTGGCTCTGTTTATATGCTGGATTACATTTATTGATTTGCGTATATTGAACCAGCCTTGCATCCCAGGGATGAAGCCCACTTGATCATGGTGGATAAGCTTTTTGATGTGCTGCTGGATTCGTTTTGCCAGTATTTTATTGAGGATTTTTGCATCAATGTTCATCAAGGATATTGGTCTAAAATTCTCTTTTTTTGTTGTGTCTCTGCCTGGCTTTGGTATCAGAATGATGCTGGCCTCATAAAATGAGTTAGGGAGGATTCCCTCTTTTTCTATTGATTGGAATAGTTTCAGAAGGAATGGTACCAGTTCCTCCTTGTACCTCTGGTAGAATTCGGCTGTGAATCCATCTGGTCCTGGACTCTTTTTGGTTGGTAAGCTATTGATTATTGCCACAATTTCAGCTCCTGTTATTGGTCTATTCAGAGATTCAACTTCTTCCTGGTTTAGTCTTGGGAGAGTGTATGTGTCGAGGAATTTATCCATTTCTTCTAGATTTTCTAGTTTATTTGCGTAGAGGTGTTTGTAGTATTCTCTGATGGTAGTTTGTATTTCTGTGGGATCGGTGGTGATATCCCCTTTATCATTTTTAATTGCGTCTATTTGATTCATCTCTCTTTTTTTCTTTATTAGTCTTGCTAGCGGTCTATCAATTTTGTTGATCCTTTCAAAAAACCAGCTCCAGGATTCATTAATTTTTTGAAGGGTTTTTTGTGTCTCTATTTCCTTCAGTTCTGCTCTGATTTTAGTTATTTCTTGCCTTCTGCTAGCTTTTGAATGTGTTTGCTCTTGCTTTTCTAGTTCTTTTAATTGTGATGTTAGGGTGTCAATTTTGGATCTTTCCTGCTTTCTCTTGTGGGCATTTAGTGCTATAAATTTCCCTCCACACACTGCTTTGAATGTGTCCCAGAGATTCTGGTATGTTGTGTCTTTGTTCTCGTTGGTTTCAAAGAACATCTTTATTTCTGCCTTCATTTCGTTATGTACCCAGTAGTCATTCAGGAGCAGGTTGTCCAGTTTCCATGTAGTTGAGTGGTTTTGAGTGAGATTCTTAATCCTGAGTTCTAGTTTGATTGCACTGTGGTCTGAGAGATAGTTTGTTATAATTTCTGTTCTTTTACATTTGCTGAGGAGAGCTTTACTTCCCAGTATGTGGTCAATTTTGGAATAGGTGTGGTGTGGTGCTGAAAAAAATGTATATTCTGTTGATTTGGGGTGGAGAGTTCTGTAGATGTCTATTAGGTCCGCTTGGTGCAGAGCTGAGTTCAATTCCTGGGTATCCTTGTTAACTTTCTGTCTCGTTGATCTATCTAATGTTGACAGTGGGGTGTTAAAGTCTCCGATTATTAATGTGTGGGAGTCTAAGTCTCTTTGTAGGTCACTCAGGACTTGCTTTATGAATCTTGGTGCTCCTATATTGGGTGCATATATATTTAGGATAGTTAGCTCTTCTTGTTGAATTGATCCCTTTACCATTATGTAATGGCCTTCTTTGTCTCTTTTGATCTTTGTTGGTTTAAAGTCTGTTTTATCAGAGACTAGGATTGCAACCCCTGCCTTTTTTTGTTTTCCATTGGCTTGGTAGATCTTCCTCCATCCTTTTATTTTGAGCCTATGTGTGTGTCTGCACGTGAGATGGGTTTCCTGAATACAGCACACTGATGGGTCTTGACTCTTTATCCAATTTGCCAATCTGTGTCTTTTAACTGGAGCATTTAGTCCATTGACATTTACAGTTAATATTGTTATGTGTGAATTTGATCCTGTCATTATGATGTTAGCTGGTTATTTTGCTCATTAGTTGATGCAGTTTCTTCCTAGTCTCGATGGTCTTTACATTTTGGCATGATTTTGCAGCGGCTGGTACCAGTTGTTCCTTTCCATGTTTAGTGCTTCCTTCAGGAGCTCTTGTAAGGCAGGCCTGGTGGTGACGAAATCTCTCAGCATTTGCTTGTCTGTAAAGTATTTTATTTCTCCTTCACTTATGAAGCTTAGTTTGTCTGGATATGAAATTCTGGGTTGAAAAGTCTTTTCTTTAAGAATGTTGAATATTGGCCCCCACTCTCTTCTAGCTTGTAGGGTTTCTGCCGAGAGATCCGCTGTTAGTCTGATGGGCTTCCCTTTGAGGGTAACCTGACCTTTCTCTCTGGCTGCCCTTAACATTTTTTCCTTCATTTCAACTTTGGTGAATCTGACAATTATGTGTCTTGGAGTTGCTCTTCTCGAGGAGTAGCTTTGTGGCGTTCTCTGTATTTCCTGAATCTGAACGTTGGCCTGCCTTGCTAGATTGGGGAAGTTCTCCTGGATAATATCCTGCAGAGTGTTTTCCAACTTGGTTCCATTCTCCCCATCACTTTCAGGTACACCAATCAGACATAGATTTGGTCTTTTCACATAGTCCCATATTTCTTGGAGGCTTTGCTCATTTCTTTTATTTTTTTTCTCTAAACTTCCCTTCTCACTTCATTTCATTCATTTCATCTTCCATTGCTGATACCCTTTCTTCCAGTTGATCGCATCGGCTCCTGAGGCTTCTGCATTCTTCATGTAGTTCTCGAGCCTTGGTTTTCAGCTCCATCAGCTCCTTTAAGCACTTCTCTGTATTGGTTATTCTAGTTATACATTCTTCTAAATTTTTTTCAGAGTTTTCAACTTCTTTGCCTTTGGTTTGAATGTCCTCCCGTAGCTCAGAGTAATTTGATCGTCTGAAGCCTTCTTCTCTCAGCTTGTCAAAGTCATTCTCCATCCAGCTTTGTTCCGTTGCTGGTGAGGAACTACGTTCCTTTGGAGGAGGAGAGGCGCTCTGCTTTTTAGAGTTTCCATTTTTTCTGTTCTGTTTTTTTCCCCATCTTTGTGGTTTTATCTACTTTTGGTCTTTGATGATGGTGATGTACAGATGGGTTTTTGGTGTGGATGTCCTTTCTGTTTGTTAGTTTTCCTTCTAACAGAGAGGACCCTCAGCTGCAGGTCTGTTGGAATACCCTGCCGTGTGAGGTGTCAGTGTGCCCCTGCTGGGGGGTGCCTCCCAGTTAGGCTGCTCGGGGGTCAGGGGTCAGGGACCCACTTGAGGCAGTCTGCCCTTTCTCAGATCTCCAGCTGCCTGCTGGGAGAACCACTGCTCTCTTCAAAGCTGTCAGATAGGGATATTTAAGTCTGCAGAGGTTACTGCTGTCTTTTTGTTTGTCTGTGCCCTGCCCCCAGAGGTGGAGCCTACAGAGGCAGGCAGGCCTCCTTGAGCTGTGGTGGGCTCCACCCAGTTGGAGCTTCCAGGCTGCTTTGTTTACCTAATCAAGCCTGGGCAATGGCGGGCGCCCCTCCCCCAGCCTCGCTGCCGCCTTGCAGTTTGATCTCAGACTGCTGTGCTAGCAATCAGCAAGACTCCGTGGGCGTAGGACCCTCCGAGCCAGGTGTGGGATATAATCTCGTGGTGCGCCTTTTTTTAAGCCCATCGGAAAAGCACAGTATTCGGGTGGGAGTGACCCGATTTTCCAGGTGCCGTCTGTCACCCCTTTCTTTGACTCAGAAAGGGAACTCCCTGACCGCTTGCGCTTCCCAAGTGAGGCAATGCCTCACCCTGCTTCGGCTCGTGCACAGTGCGTGCACCCACTGACCTGTGCCCACTGTCTGGCACTCCCTAGTGAGATGAACCCGGCACCTCAGATGGAAATGCAGAAATCACCCGTCTTCTGCGTTGCTCACGCTGGGAGCTGTAGACTGGAGCTGTTCCTGTTCGGCCATCTTGGCTCCTCCCTTTCCAATGTATGTCAATCTTTGCCCAGTGATTTGCAATACTATCTTGATCGTATATTAAATTTCTATGTGTATCTGGATCTATTCTGGATTTTCTATACTATTCCATTGATCTGTCTATTCACTTGCCAGTACCTCACTGTTTTGATATAGAGGCTTTGTAATATGTTTTAGTTTCTGGTAATGCTAGTCCCCACTCAGCTCTGTCTTTTCATTATTTTCCTAGTGATTCTTGCATATTCATTTTTCCATATGAACTTTATTAACAACTTGTTTAACTTCATTAAAAAAACTTGATATTTTTATTAAGACTGTATTAAAATTATAAATTAAATTAGGTAGAACTATCATCTTACTAACTAGCTATCAACCAAGAATATGGAATTTGTTCAGGTCAACTCTGTCTCTTGGGAGTGCTTTATAGTTATCTTTGTATAGGCTTTGAACATTTTCCTTTCATTATGTATTCTAATTGGTTATTATTTGTATATATAAAGCTATTTATTTTTGCATGTTAATTTCATTTCCTGCTACCTCGATGAATAACTTTATTGTTTGAGTTTGCTTTATCATTATCTGGGATTTTCCAGATATACTGTCAGATCATCTGAAAACAGAAAATAGTCTTTTCTTTTATTCTTACAATTTTAATATGTCTGTTTTCTATTGTCCACTTGTACTAGCTAATAATTCCAAAACAATAGGGGTCAAGATATTGAGCATTGTTGTCTAGTTCTTGACCTTAGTGAGACTGCCTTTAGCATTTCTCCACCAAGGAAAAGGCTAGCTTTTGGAATTTTATGCAAAGACACACACACATATATATGCACATATTTATACATATGTATACATACACATACATAGCTAATGTTAGGTGTACCATGTTAACATACATAAACATAAATACATTTACATCAAATAAGTATTCATACATCTCTGTTTTCTAAAGAGATGTTTTAAGAATGGATCTTGTTTTACCCAAGTTTTTTTTCAGTATGTGTGCAGAACATCATATGTTTTTTCAATTTATTTATTTGTGTATTTGAAACAGTGTCTTGCTGTCTCACCCAGAGTGGAGTGCAGGCGCAATCACAGCTCACTGTAGCCTCCACCCCCTGAGCTCCAGTGATCATCCCACCTCAGCCTCCTGAGCAGCTGAGACTACCGGTGCCCTCCACCACACCTGGCTAATTGTATTTTTTTTATAGAGAAGGGGGTTTCGCTATGTTGCCCAAGTTGGTCTCAAATCCTGGGCTCAAGCCATCCATCCGCTTCGGATTACAGGCATTAGCCACCATGCCCAGCCTTATTTTTTCCCTTTAGGCCTATTAATATAGAAAATGCTATGAAAAGATTTCCCAATATATTAATATATGTCCTATGATAGTGAGCTATATTAATAGATTTTCTAATATTGAACCATTCTTACATTTCTGATAGACACTCCATGTAGACATAGTGTATTACTTTCTTCACGTGGTGTTTGAGTCTAAAAACTAGTATTATATTAGGATTTTTGCCTTAATATATTTTTTGTTATTTTTAACAGGTTTAGTATCAATGTTTGCTTCCTAAAAAGAATTTAGATTGTTTATTTTCCCTGTTCTGAAACATTGTACATAACGTTAGGACCATATGGTCTCTAAAAGTTTGGTAACATTCTCCTGTGAAACCATTTGGACCTGGTTTTGTTTGGTTCGTTTCTTTGTGGGAACAGCAACCCCAGCTTGGTTTCTTTGTGGGACAGTTTCTTGACAACTTTCTGTAGTTCTATTAAAATTACTGTTTAAGCTTTCCATCTTTATTGAGGTCAATTTTAATAAACACATTTTCCTAAGAAACTATATCATCTAGGTTTTCAAATTTATGTGCAGAGATTTGCAGTTTTTATTTTTATTTCCTCTGCATTAGTTATTCCTTGTCATTTCTCATTTTTTATATTTGTGCTTTATTAAATAATAGCTAATGATCGATCTATTTTGTTAATTTTTCAAAGAGCTAGTATTTTAATCTATTTGCTATTTTTCTTATTTATTAATTTCTGCTTTTGTTATTGTTACTTCCTCCTGTGTGCTTCCTTTTGGTTTATTTTTCTAGCTGTTTGATTTACTATTTATGTTCATTCTGTCATTTTTATTTATATAGATGGTAGGGCAATGAATTTTCCTGATAATACTTTTACATGGATTCTGATATATAGTATTTTCATTATCTTTCAGGAATTCCTTAATTTTTGTATTTCCCCTTTCATTGTACCCTGCATAATAGGTTTTAAATTGCTAGTTAGAAAGACCTTTTTATTTTCTAGTTTTGTTTTTAATTTCACTTGGGACTGGTAACAGTGTTTTTAATATTTCTGCTTTATAGAAGCTACTGCTATTTTCTTTGTGCTCTAAGTATCCTTTTTTTTTGGTGAAAGTTCTATTTGCCTTGGAAAGAAAATCTCTAACATCAGGATGGTAATATTTGATATATATGCAAAAGATTTACCTCATTGATTTATAGCAATTAAAATGAGCTACAGTGACAGCCCCATTAAGTGAAACTCACATAATTATGAAGGAAAAATGCAGACACACTGTGAGTGTTAGTTGATGAACTTCTCTTCTCCCTTAGAATCTGTCTGTTGGGGATCTGGTGGCAACCAAGGTTGCCGGGCCTTTTTGGCTTTCTTGGGCACTAGACTACAAGTCATTGTTGTCCTGGGAAGTGTCCCCAGGTGTAGCCAAAAATTATTTTAACTGGATTCAGAAAAAATCTCTCAAATTGGACAATGGATTGATATAACCTTGTAGGTAGGTCCTTTTGAACCAATACACACCCAGCGGTTGTAACTGATATGACTGCAAGTATTGTGGGAAACAGATACTGTAAGTTCCCAGTGGAGTGCATAAGTTAAACAGGCAGTATGGTTTCCAAATATGCAGTTCCACAGAAGGGCATTCTATTTGGATAGAATGTTTAATGATTTAATGATGGGGGGTGGGGGAAGGATAAGATGCAGATAAATTGTAAGAGACAAAACTCATATTAGCCCTTTTCAGTCTTCGTTTTCCCTCCTATGCCTCCCTCTGGGTAACTGGGCTACCGAATTTGCAAGTGGCAAAAAGGAGTGGGGATACAGGCTAGAAGACTTTAACTGGTACTTCTTTTACTGCCCAACTTTGCGTTGTGGATCTGGTAGATTATGGATATTTGTAATGATCATAGATACAAGGTGACAACTGCCATGGTATCTCTGGCATGGCTCACCTGTTGGGGAGCAAGAGGGATGTTCTAGAATGGTACAGTGTATAAGGAAGAAACCACCGAGCCACCTAGAAATGAACATGTCCAGTTGGTGTGGATTAGACATGGTGAGGATTGGCAAAAGGGTGAAGCGTTTGCTTCAGGGAATTATCACACCACTCATGTTGTGGAAAGGGAAAAGCAACCCCAGCTTGTAGGAAAGAAACACCTCACACCCTGGGAAATCAGGGGTGAGGGAAGTAGCATTGCCCTCTCCTACATTAAATATCTCTGGAAGGACACATAGGAAGGGGATGAAGAGGGGAAAATGTCTTTAGTCTTTTGTACCTGCTGAATTTTGAACCAAGTGACTATTTTATATAGTTTAAAAAACATTAAACATTTAAAAATAAAATTGTACCTAAACCTCAAACTAAAATTTAGAAATTAATAGTCCCAGTCATAATGCGAGGGCACTACGTAAGGACCTAGAATATAAAAGTACTCAATAAAAACAAGTTAGATTTTCTTTTAAAGTGACATACGCTTAAGTCATACAATTTTTGGGTATGAAATTGTTTTAAAGATGTATATGTACAAGAATAGTGCAAGCTGTTAACTATTTTTATTTAATACAACTGATGAAGTTAACAGACAAATATATTTTAATAATATCACAAAGTTATAATTGTTAAGGTATTATCTATATTTAAAGGTTTTTTAAGTCAAAGACTTAACATTTGAATTTTAACTATTTTTGAAATGTAAAATGTACAATTAGTAATACCCATACTACGTATTTTAGAATTTTAAAGTTTTAGCGAAAACATTTGAGTTTCTGCAGGTAAAAGCAATAGTTCTCCTGTATCTAAGAAAAAAAAATGTATTACTAAAAAAGTGCCACTGAATTTAGACAATGCTAAACTGTTTCCTTTTTGGGGAGGAAGACAAAAGTACATAACAGTATAGAACTAGTCATTTTCATTATACTAGTATAGAACTAGTAATTTGCATTATGCTTTGTAACAAGCACAAGAATGCTTATTTATAGTAGATATTAACCACAATAAATAACTCCTCAAAAAAGATCACAACTATGATGTGTGACAAGCTGTTCGGTCATTGCTGAAAATAGTCCAGAGTTTTTTAAAAAGTGCAATCTTGAACTAAGATAAACTTAAGTCTATCAATACCAAGAAACAGTTTTAGGGACTTCATATAAATACAATAACCTGTCTTTTTTTTTTTTTTTTTTTTTTTGTAAAATAGGTTTCTACCTGTTCTAAGGAGGAGAATAGTGGTAGATGGCAAAGTTGGCAACAAGTATGTTTCTAGCAGGTGAAAGCCTGGTATGCATTGCCATAAAGTGCATCTTTTACATAAGGAAAACATGCTTATTAGATGTATACAGTACTTTTCAGGCACTTGACCTCACTTGGTAGCTAAGTTGGTGTTCAGATGTTTGTTTAATGGAAAAACATTAAATTACATATTGGCTTCAAGCCATGTTCCCATAGAACATCTGTGTTTCATAAGCTAAATCCAAATGTTCCCTGCTAAAATCAAATAATGATGCCATATACCCAATTCAGAGAAAAAATTTAATAGATTAAATAGATTGAATTGTCTCAATTTTTAAGGTTTTCCACCATAAATTTTTCTTAAATCTTTGTTGCCTGTTACTTGTCTGAATGTTAGCAGAAAAAAAAGGCTTGAAAACTATGAAATATTATGCCTAACTGATGTTAAAATGAGAGCTGCTGATCAGTACAATATACTGTTAATGGAAATATGCTTATATTTTCACTCTTACACTGCTTAAGAGCCATATTTTCTCATAGTAAATGCGTTCCTAGTTCATATTACAGAATTCAGTATGTAAACATTTCAGTGTACCCAAAAAAGCATTATGAATTTATCTATTATCCCTAAATATGTTTGGTGAACCTCTACATCAATGCCTGGCTCCAAAACTATCTCTGGGGTCCATGCCAAAGGAATGCTTTCAGATGTATCCTAAGGATAGGATTCTAAGATGAGACTGCCAAAATCTATTCTAAAATGAAAAAAATATGGCAAGATTCCAGTATGGATGCTACTGTTTCCATTTTTTTCTTGACTATTTAGCATGTAGTTTAAGTGTGTTGACATTAAGGATTTTTTTATATGCATGTATCACAGTTATTACAATTTGGGAAAATTCTGCCAATATATTTTCAGGCAATTAGCTTTAAAATAATGAAATTTCAGCTTTTAGCACAAATAGCCCTGAGAACAATGCATTCAAATTACAGCTCAACTAGAAATATTCTAATTGAGAAACCTTAAAGTACAAAAACAAGTTGTGGAAAGTTGTAAATTTAAAAAAAAAAAGTTACCAACAGTTGAGGCACCAACAGACTACAATACTTTTAAGAGTTGGGAGTTTGGAAAAAAGAACTAACATATAAAGTTATGTGCGCACATGTGCACATGCAAATTGCATTGTAATGAAAAATTGTGTCTCCAAATTTTACAGCCTAATCATTTTATTGCAGTATCTCCTATTATAGATATCATGCTCTGATGCAGGAGAGTTTTGGTAATTAACATAAAGCGCTGGTACAGAGACTTGTATCATTAAGGGAAACAGAGTCAAGAGCTTGGTTAGCAACAGTTTCTTCAAGTGACTGAGCCCCTGGAAGGGAGCATGAAAAAAACATCATAATTATGTTTATGATGCAAATGCTAAGTCAAAGTAGCAATGATATGATCTATGTTGTAGCAAATAAGGTATAACAAAGTCTTCACAGTATAAATAAAATGTTCTAAAAAGAAACAAATATTCAACCTGTTAATAAATTGGTGAAATGTATACAGATAAAAATGGCTTATCACTGTACAATGATATCAACATGACAGTCCACATTCTATACATGGTAACTCGTGATTTTTAACATTTGCTACAAAAAAGTACAACAAATATTGGGAATCAACTTTAACATTTCTGATGTCTAAAAAGAATGAAGTCACTTCTGTTCTATGTTAAAAAATACATGTTCCCCGCTTCCTTTTAATATAATTTATAAAGCTTTACTAAATATTTTGTTCTAGAGAAACATCTATTGACTTATGTGAAAATAAAGTCCCATATCTTTAAAATCTATACTTATATATCGAGTATTTACACTTCATATATTACTTAAAATGAAAATATTTATGCATAAATAGCGTTTGCCATTCAAAGTATGAAGATAGAGATGCATTATTATAATTTGTACACCCTTAATTTGTACACAATTGAAAATATATTTATGTGAAATTTTACAAGTTAGGAAGAACAGGGGCATGCTAATTGAGAGTTAATACTGAATCATAACACCAGCATGGTTAAGAGGGGCCATATGAATGAACTGCAAGCAGCACGGATTAATAATTTTCTGGAATTCCTATGAGTTACAATGCCAACCAGTAGCAATTAAGATACACATTACAGAGTACTAAGAAACTAGAGCAGTATGTAGTAGGTACTTAAATAGAATACTGGAAAGAATGTAGCCTAATTTTAATTGTGCTTTAGATGGGCAAAAGCTAAAATGTTGTAGGAAAGACGACTAACTACTACCTCACTATTTCTTGTGCTTTAGAAATTTCCTTTGTATTTCTCTTAAAGTATCTTGCTTCTTCCCCAAATTGGTTTGCCGAGGCTAAGACAATATTTAAAAGTGTGTACAAATTAAGCAACTAAAACTTGGGATCTTCTGTTACTAATGCTATTTCCAGTCACTGATTAGATCAGTTACATCATCATATATGATATACTTTCCTTTAGAAGATAGGAACAAAGGGCTTTTTAGAGGTCAAGGCATGATGGGAGAGGTCTAAGAGCCAGTCTTAGAGAATTAAGGTATTTCTGAGATAGTGATTTTGTTCTATGTTTTGCTCCAATATGATGATTGTCACTGAGTCAAAGGTCCTCACAAACCCTGTAATAATGTCTAAAATTCTGGAAATAATATACATATGACTCAAAAGATGAAATAGAAATGCAGTGGTGTCACCTAAAATACCTTTTAAAATAATTCAGTTTATAGAATTATTTGCTAGTTATAGTTCACACCAGCAACTGAATTAAGTCACACAACAATCAGAAAAAATGCATATACTTAAAATAACTTAACTTAAATAATAATATTCATATAAAGTAATGCTGCTTCCATGATTCACTTTAATTCACTTTAGGAAAAAAAGGACATAAAATTAACAAAAATTCCAAATCAATTTAAGGAATTCTCAGTTTTTGTTTAATAAATACATTAATGTCAAAAAATCTACTTAGAAATGGTTGGAAAGGGGCTGGGTGTGGTGGCTCATGCCTGTAATCCCAGCACTTTGGGAGGCTGAGGCAGGTGGATCACCTGAGGTCAGGAGTTCAAGACCAGCCTAGACAACATGGTGAAACCCCATCTCTACTAAAATACACAAAAAAGTAGCTGGGCGTGGTGGCATGCACCTGTAGTCCCAGCTACTTGGGAGGCTGAGGCAGGAGAATTGCTTGAACTCGGGAGGCAGAGGTTGCAGTGAGCCGAGATTGCACCACTGCACTCCAGCCTGGCTGATGGAGTGAGACTCAGTCTCAAAAAAAAAAAAAAAAAAAAGGAAGTTGGAAAGGAGTATTTACTGATAAATATTACTATTTATTCAACATAGTTGGAAAACAAGCATTGCATAGTATCATGTAAAGCAGATCACTCCCTTTAAACGTTGGGGGCAAAGTTAAAAGCAAAAACAACTGAGAAACAACTTTTCATTTTTATGCTGACTTACAAAGTCCTCACATAAAAACTTATAGATTTAATCAACCCTCTTTGCCACTGTCTTTTGTGTCTTCCTTATAATCTTACTTGCTAACTAACTTTCACCCAACAGTTCAGTGCCCTTCTGCCAACCATAAGAAGGGACTAAAACCACCATATAAGGTTACATCAAGTTTGCCAACAATTTGGTAAATAGTATGACCAAAGTAATCACATGGTTGCATGTGGCCACCAAAATAACTGACAGTTTTTGATAACATGATTTTTGTTTAAGGATTTGTGTTTGCCCTACACAGGCTGAAAGTGCAACAATTCCAATATATAATCAGTTCATTTTATATTAAATCTGTAATTAATGCAGAGCAGTTCAACTTAAATATGGTACTTCAATACCACTTTATGCTACATTGTTTGATTTAAAACCCTGGTTTATCATCTAACTAAAACACAGGAATGATTTGCTCAGACAAATCACATCTGCTGAAGCTATCTTGTTTGTTTCTTGGACTGACATACTGAAAACCACAGGAATATTATAGGAAACATATCTACAAAATTCAAAAAAAATTATACATATTGATAATTTTTTAAAAATTATCAATTGCTTGCAAAACTAACCCAGCACAATCTGAAAACAATTAAAAAAAGAAATGAGGTTGCTTATGAAGGCTATAGCTTTGGTGACAACTTAGAACCAAATTAGATCTGCAGTTGATTCAGACATAAACAGTGTTCATGCCTGATGTTTCCGTTTATTTGCAGGGTTTTATGGCTACAGCATATTCTTCACTCATTGCACACATGACAGACACCTAGAAGGAAAAAAGCAGGCAAAACGTTATTCAGAAGACAATACATATAGAAGATATAATTAGTTCCTCATATATTGTATATTTGTGGATATTTTGTACATATGGACTTCTGAAAGGGGTATTCCAAAACAAGCTACTTTCTTTACAGTTTTCTAAAGCAGAATTTCTCAGAGTGGTTTGTAAGACAACTTCCAGGGAACAGGAAAAATAACTATAAATGTTTGAACACTTACTACCCGTTACATTTCTGAAAGTTGTAACGAAGACAGTAAATCTCCTTCACTCTTTAACATTCCACTAGCATCATTTCTTACCTGTAAGAATAGCTCAGGGCTGGGCGCCTTGCTCAGGCCTGTAATCCCAGCACTTTTGGGAGGCCAAGGTTGGGGGATCACCTGAGGTCAGGAGTTCAAAACCAGCTTGGCCAACATGCTGAAACCCAATCTTTACTAAAAATACAAAAATTAGCCAGATGTGGTGGCACGCGCCTGCAATCCCAGCTACTCAGGAGGCTGAGGGGAGAATCGCTTGAACCTGGGACGCGGAGGTTGCAATGAGCCGAGATCACGCCACTGCACTCCAGCCTGGGTGACAGAGGGAGACTCCGTCTCAAAAAAAAAAAAAAAGTCAGGTGCAGAGCTTCAAAACAAATTTGGGTTTGAGAGTAATGCTGATGTAGCAAAAATGAACTTTGATACTTTCTTTGATAATGAGTCTCTAAGGGTTTTATGGAAAACCTGCCTGAGAGATCATTTTCAACATTTTAGCAGTATTTTTAAACCACATTCCATATGTAGTATTTTATGTTAACTAGTTGAGGTCAAAGTTTTTATAAAATGGTTTTCAAAAATAATCCTTCTCTAAGTCTTTACCTGTACATCTTCACCTGCATTGTATTTTCCCTCTATTTCTTTGCCTAGTTCACCTTCTGGCAGTTTAAGATCCTCACGAACTTCACCAGTTTCTGTCAGCAGGGAAAGGTAACCATCTTGAATGCATATCAGCTATTAGAAGAAATTATATCATTTGTGCTGATTAGATTATATCCACTTCTGTGTAATGCTTACATAGTTAAATTGCAATTGATATTAATTCATATAAGTATACAGTAATATATTAATATTCTTGGTATTTAAAATGCTAAAAATATAAAAAATATAAAATATGTACAGAATGGAAATATAAGTTTACTCCTCCCGGTACTTCCCATACCCAATCTCTGCCTTGTTAAACAGTTTAGGTTTCTTTATAGTGTATTCCATTTATGTTCACAAAATAAATATAGTTGCTGTTTTGTTTTTTTTTTTAATCAAAATGGGATATTGGGCCAAGTGCGGTGGCTCACGCCTGTAATCCCAGCACTTTGGGAGGCCGAGGCGGGCGGATCATGAGGTCAGGAGATTGAGACCATCCTGGCTAACACGGTGAAACCCCATCTCTACTAAAAATACAAAAAATTAGCCAGGTGTGGTGGCAGACACCTGTAGTCCCATCTACTTGGGAGGCTGAGGCAGGAGAATGGCGTGAACCCAGGAGGTGGAGCTTGCGGTGAGCCAAGATCGTGCCCCTGCACTCCAGCCTGGGCGACAGAGCGAGACTCTGTCTCAAAAAAAAAAAAAAAAAAAAAAGAGATATTATAAGTACTTTACAGTGAGCTGTTTTGACTTAATAATATGTCTTATAAATACTTTCTAAGCAGAAAATGTAAACCTACCTTAGTTAACTACCACATATCTGCATGGACATACTATTACTGATTTAACCAATTTCACATTACTGGGCATAAAAGTTATTTTTGCTATTACAAACAATGCATTTTCTAATTTGAGTATGAACAAAATTAAGTGGAAAACTTTTGGTCTTCAGTCAACAACAACAACAACAACAAAATCCACTAGTGTATGGATAACATTAGTGAAAAAAAAAAACCCAGTTGTCAACCCAACCTGCAAAAAAGCACGGTTTTGATACCACTGAACTTCTTTTACTACAGGAATGAGTAAACAACCAACCTCCACTCATTTATTCTATTAATAAAAGCATGTACACTATTAGTATGCCTCGAATCCTAACATGTTTTATAAAAGGCTACCATCCAGAATACCAGCTACTAATATCTACAAAAGGAGTCAAAGACAATGGTCCTTGAACCCCTGTAACCACTATGATATAACCCAGGCATATCGTTGGGATTGCTCTCCTCCACATACACCATCTACCAAAACTGCCTATGGCTCTCCACAGAAACTCCATCTATCACAGGAAATTTGAGTTTTTATATGTCTAGAAATCTCAAAAATAAGAAATCCTACAGAGCTACAACAAAGACTTTTAACTAACCTCTTAGACCCTCAAATATTTGTGAGGTGGCTGGTAGAGAAGTGGGAGCAAGGAGGTTGAGGTAGAAGTGTAACTTTTTAAAAAATATATATATTTTTAAAGATGGGCGTCTCATTATATTGCCTAGGCTGGCCTCGAACTCCTGGGGTCAAGTGAGCCTCTGCTTTAGCCTTCCAAGGAGCTGGGACTATAGGTGTGCACCAATGCACCTAGCTTGAAGTGTAATTTTTAAACAACCACAACATTCCAAGACAAATCTTTCTGATTTCTGTTCTTTTAGTAATTCCCTAAAGCACAGCTTGTCTATTTCAAGAGTTAAATGTTCGTACTGTGCCACTAGTGACTGAAACACAGAAGCCAAATAATAATACTGATATTTTGAAAATGATGTATGTAATGGAGCTATTTTATTTTTTAAGAGTTAAGAATCATAAACTGTGGAATGAAATATATAAAGCATTTCAGATGTACAAATATATAAAACATCTAGTAAAACAATGCATTTACAAACATTAAACATTAAGATAAATTGCTATATTAAATACAATTAGTTTTCAAAAATAAAACTAAGCTACGAAAAACAAAAATAATGAGAATGAATTATTTAATCTTTGATATGGTTTGGCTCTGTGTCCCCACCCAAATCTCATCTTGAATTGTAATCCCCACATGTCGAGGGAGGGAGCTGGTGGGACGCAATTGGATCATGGGGTCAGTCTCCGCAATGCTGTTGTCATGATAGTGAGTGAGTTCTCTTCAAAGTGTTTAGCAGTTCCCCCCTCACTTGCTGTATCTCCTGCTGCCATGTAAGATGTGCCTTGCTTCCCCTTCGCCTTCTGCCGTGGTTCCTGAGGCCTCCATAGCCATGTGGAACTGTGACTCAATTAAATTTCTTTTCTTTATAAATTACCCAGTCTCAGGTAGTTCTTTATAGCAGTGTGAAAAAGGACTAATACAGAAAATTGGTACCAGGAGTTTGGGCCACTGCTATAAAGATGCCTGAAAATAAGGAAACAACTTTGGAACTGGGTAACAGGCAGAGACTGCAACAGTTTAGAGGGCTCAGAAGAAAGAAAGATGAGGGAGAATTTGAAACTTCCTAGAGACTTGTTGAATGGATTTGAACAAAATGCTGACAATGATATGGACAGTGAAGTCCAGGCTGAGGTGGTTTCAGATGGAGATGAGGAACTCACTGGGAACTGGAACAAAGGTCACTCCTGCCGTGCTTTAGCAAAGAGACTGGCAGCATTTTGCCCTGCCCTAGAGATCTGTGGAACTATGAACTTGAGAGAGATGATTTAGGTTACCTGGCATAAGAAATTTCTAAGCAGCAAAGTGTGCAAGAGGTAACCTGGCTTTTTTTGAAAGTGTACAGTCATATGCATTCATGAAGAGATGATCTGAAACTGGAGCTCATGTTTAAAAGGGAAGCATAGCATAGAAGTTTGAAAAATGTACATCCTGACCATGTAGTAGAAAAGAAAAACCCATTTTCTGGGAAGAAATTCAAGCCAGCTGCAGAAATTTGCATAAGTTACAAGGAGCTGAATATTAATAGCCAAGACAATGGGGAAAATGTCTCCAGGGCATTCCAGATATCTTCATGGCATCCCCTCCCAACACAGGTCCAGAGGCCTAGGAGGGAAAAATGGTTTCATGGGCCAGGCCCAGAGCCCTGCTGCTCTGTATAGCCTCGGGACTTGGTGCCCTGTGTCCCAGCCACTCCAGCTCCAGCTGTGGCTAAAAGGGGTCAAGGTACAGCTTGGGCTGTTGCTTCAGAGAGTGTAAGCCCTAATCCTTGGTGGCTTCCATGTGGTGTTGGGCCTGCAGGTACACAGAAGGCAAGAGTTGAGGTTTGGGAGCCTCCGCCTAGATTTCAGAGGATGTATGAAATGCCTGGAGGTCCAAGCAGAAGTCTGCTGCAGGGGCAGAGCCCTCATGGAGAACCTCTGCTAGGGCAGTGTGGAAGGGAAATGTCAGGTTAGATCCCCCACACAGAGTCCCCACTGGGACACTGCCTAGTGGAGCTGTGAGAAGGGGGGTCACCATCTTCTAGATTCCAGAATGGTGTACCATGTGCCTGGAAAAGCCACAGGCACTCAATACCAACCAGTGAAAGCAGCTGCAGAGGCTGTACCCTGTAGAGCCACAGGGGTGGAGCTGCCCAAGACCTTGGGAGCCTACCTTTTGGATCAGTGTGCCCTGGATGTAAGACATGGAGGCAAAGGAGATTATTTTGGAGCTTTAAGACTGAATGGCTACCCTGCTAGGTTTCGGACTTGTATGGGACCTGTAGCTCCTTTGTTTTGGCCAATTTCTCCCATTTGAAATAACAGTATTTACCCAATGCCTGTATCCTCATTGTTTCTAGGAAGTAACTGACTTGCTTTTCATTTTACAGGCTCATAGGCGGAAGGGACTTCCCTTGTTTCAGATGAGACTTTGGACTTGGACTTTTGGGTTAATGCTGGAATGAGTTAAGACTTTCAGGGACTGTTGAGAAGGCATGATTGTGTTTTGAAAGTGAGAACATGAGATTTGGAAGGGGCCAGGGACAGAATAATATGATTTGGCTCTGTGTCCTCACCCAAATCTCATCTTGAATTATAATCCCCACATGTCAAGGGAGGAACCTGGTAGGAGGTGATTGGATCATGGGGGCAGTTTCCCTCATGCTGTTCTCATGATAGTAA
Source organism: Homo sapiens (assembly GCF_000001405.40). Taxonomy (NCBI): domain Eukaryota; kingdom Metazoa; phylum Chordata; class Mammalia; order Primates; family Hominidae; genus Homo; species Homo sapiens. The sequence continues at coordinate 170,898,456 of NC_000003.12, forward strand.
GTGAGTTCTCATGAGATCTGATGGCTTAAAAGTGTTTGACAGATCCCCCCTGCTTGCTGTCTCTCCTGCTGCCATATAAAACATGCCTTGCTTCCCTTTCACCTTCCTCCATGATTGTAAGTTTCCTGAGGCCTCCCCAGCCATGTGGAACTGTGAATCAGTTAAATCTCTTTTCTTATAAGTTACTCAGTTTCAGGTAGTTCTTTATAGCAGTGTGAAAATGGACTAATACAATCTTTTAAATTGAATTATTTATTAAAAAATCTTAAGTTCTATAGAAAAGTTGCAATAATGCAATGAAATCCCATATCCTTTACCTAGATACATCCATTGTTCACATTTAATCACATGTGCACTATTTTCTCTATGTATACATCCAATATATATATATATCATATATATTCTTATTATTTTTACAGAACTATTGAGAGTAAGTTCCAAAGATCATGATTCTTCAGCAATAAATACTTCAGTGCAACAGCCATGACTTTTCAGCAATTAAAACTTCAGTGTATTTTTCTCAAGAACAAGGATATACTCTTAGATAACAACAATTTATTTTTCAAAATCAGGGAATTTAATATTGATAACCTATTATTCAATATATAGTACATATTTAAATTTGCCAATTGTCCTAGTATTGTCCTGGATAGCAACTTATTTCCCTAACTCCAGGGTCATACCTTGTATTTATCTGGCTATCATGTCAGTTTAGTCTCTTAATTCTAACAGTTTCCTCCACCCTTTAACTTTCATGGTATCTTTTTGTTTTTTGGGGGGTTTGGTTTTTCTGAGACCAGGTCTTGCTCTTTCATGCAGGCAGGAGTGTGGTGGCATGATCATGACTCACTGCAGCCTCAACCTCCAGGGCTCAAGTGATCCACCCAACTCAGCCTCCCGAGTTACTGGGACCATAGGCATACAACCACTATGCCTGTTGGGATTTTTTTTATTTTTTATTTTTTTAATTTTTATTTTTTGTAGATACAGGGTCTTCCTGTGTTGCCCAGGCTGGTCTCAAACTCCTGGGGGTTCACTGTTTTATAGAATATTCCTCAGTTTGTGTTTGTCTCACTGTTTCCTCATGATAAAGGTAATGCATTTTTGAAAGGAATACTATACAAATGATGTGTCCTCAGAGTATCCTATCAGGAGGCAAATGTCAATTTGTCCCATTACAAGTGATGCCAACTTTGATATGCTGACTAAGGTAGTTATCTGCCAGATTTTTCCACTCCAAAGTTACACTTTCCCCCTTTGTAATTTGCAAGCTTTAAGAAAAAAAAAAAGCCAACAGTGTCATCGTCAAGTCCCCAAGCATATTTTTGTGCAAATGTTTCTATCTTCTCTCAAAGGCCTCTCTGACTCCATAGAGTTGGAAGGTGGGGATGGTAAGGAAATTGTTGTAAGTATCTTCTTCTGGTCCTTTACCTTTAAACAAACCTACTGATTTGATCACTTTTAGATGTTTTTGAACATTTTTTTTTTTGGTAGAAAGTAATTATTGTTAGTAGCAAGCAGGGAGACAGCAGAGGTGAGGGTCAAAAAACTTTAGAGATGTTAGGCATGTGGAGGCGTACCAAGCTCCTGAGCAGTATATAAGGTTATAAGGCTATCAGAATGTGGTATTTTTGGCTGGGTGCAGTGGCTCACACCTGTAATCCTAGCACTTCGGGAGGCCAAGGCAGGCGGATCATTTGAGGTCAGGAGTCCGAGACCAACCTGGCCAATATGGCAAAACCTCGTCTCTACTAAAAATACAAAAATTAGCCAGATGTGATGGCACCTGGAGTCCCAGCTACTTGGGAGGCTGAGGCAGGAGCATCACTTGAACCCAGGAAGCAGAGGTTGTAGTGAGCTGAGATCACGCCGCTGCACTCCAGCCTGGGTGGCAGAGCACGACTCCATCTCAAAAAAAAAAAAAAAAAAAAAAAGAATGGGGTATTTTTTATTTCCTACTAAAATATTCTAGGGCTCCTTGCATAATTCCAGGTCCAGATCAGGAAGTGTGTAAGATGAACCTGGAGAAGCTGTTGTACTAAAAAGCAAGGAGCTATCAAGGAGAATTAAAATTAGGCCCATGTCAAAGGGACTCAAGAGCTAACTTGAATAAGCTCCCACTGGCCAAGATGGAACAATGTGAGAATAAATAAGGACACTAACAACAATGGATTGAAACACAAATATGTTTAAATGCTCGAGTTTATAATGAAAAAAATATGTATTTCATCATCTTTAGTGGATGCTAGGAACCAATTTATTTTATAAACTGTACCTTAAAGGGAAAGAGTCAAATACACCCACCCCCGCTACACGCACAGACACTGGTACTGTCTCTTAAGGCAAACAAACAAACAAAAATTGATGAAGGGAAGTTTCTTTTTATAGAAGTATTCTGGCTAAGAGAAACAAATGAAGGAATGACAGATCATAAATTTTTTCTCCTCCAATTAATATGTTGAGGCAGTATTCACATATCTGATAATATCACAAAAGGAGAAACAATCAGACTTATTTATCTAATGATTGCATAGAACATTATGGAGTAGTCCTGCTAAAGGAAAGAAAGGAAGAAAATAAAAATCTGAACTGAATCTGATTAAGACTCTATATCTTACTACCAAGTTTCAGGAAACACAAGGGACAGAGGAACATGTTAAAAAACAAGGAAATGCAATTAGCAAAATCCATACAGTGGGAAAGTCTACAGAAGAAATGATCCAGTGTCTTTGTCAAAAAATTGCAGAGACAGAATTAATCACACTGGTAATTGTTGAAGCTGAGTGACAGGTACACAGGATTCATTATACTATACTTTGAAAATTTCCACAATAAAAAGTGAAACAAAAAATGCTATAGTATATATGAATTCTAGAATAAGCACTGTAACCACTAAGTGCTGGGAGGCACAGTAAGCTAAGGAAGCAAAACATGATCTAAAAGGGAGTGTGGGGAGAGTTAATGACTGCAGATTCTGTCTTAGATGTAGTCAGAATAGGAAAGAACACTGAAAAGGGGGAATTATTGGGAAACTATTTTGCCTGCATTTGTACTACTGATATACAACAGAAGGCTGGAGAAGGTATATTATCCCTACAGGTGCCTTCTTTTTTTTTTTTTTTGAGATGGAGTCTGGCTCTGTCGCCAGGCTGGAGTGCAGTGGCGCAATCTTGGCTCACTGCAACCTCCACCTCCCTGGTGGTCTCGAACTCCTGATCTCGTGATCCGCCTGCCTCGGCCTCCCAAAGTGCTGGGATTACCGGCGTGAGCCACAGTGCCTGGACAGGTGCCTTCTTAGTTCTAATTTCTGAATTTAATTTTGTTTCTCAATCTATTTCAAAACAACCAGACTTGTTTAGGTAACACCTATTCCTTTTTATTTCTTCCTTCTTTTCCCCCAGAGTGTAGCACTCTTGTGCTACTTCCTTAGAGTTGCTGGTCCCTGAATGCTTGATCACTATTATTATACAGTGATCTGAGAGACTGAATGCTTTATCACTATTATTGTACAGCCTAAGCAAATAACACCACCATAACCTGACCCATCATCTGACCCATCAAGCCACACAACTGGGAACGCACAGCAGCTCTCCATCATTGAGTGGAAGTAGCATATATGAGATCAGCTTGAGAAGGACCTAAAGGTACAAACAAGTTGTATAAGAAGTGGCTCAGACTCAGAAAACACTTTGTCTTACCACACTGACACTTCTCCTTCAACTGATACCAATGACTAGATGGACAGTTGCCTATGACCAGCTGACTGAGAAAGGAAAATATTCACAATGGTTTCTAGATGGTTATGCATTATATGATGACACCATTCAGGGGTCAACCTGAAAGTGGGTTTGGGAAGAACTTCAAGCACTGGACCTGAAAGAAGACAGAACCAGAAGTGTGGATTTGCACTGATTATGAGCTAATGTGTGAATGCCATTCAGCCTTTTTTTTTTTTTTTTTTTTTTTTGAGACCGAGTCTTGCTCTGTCACCAGGCTACAGTGCAGTGGTGTGATCTTGGCTCACTGCAACTTCCACCTCCCAGGTTCAATCGATTCTCCTGCCTCAGCCTCCCAAGTAGCTGGGGTTACAGGTGCCTGCCACCACACCCGGCTAATTTTTGTATTTTTTGTAGAGATGTACAGAAGCCTTCCTTTTTTTTTTTTTTTTTTTGAGATGGAGTCTTGCTCTGTTGCCCAGGCTGGAGTGCAATGGCGGGATCTTAGCTCACTGCAACCTCCGCCTCCCAGGTTCAAGTGATTCTCCTGCCTTAGCCTCCTGAGTAGCTGGGATTACAGGCATGCACCACCACGCCTGACTAATTTATGTATTTATTAGAGACGGGGTTTCACCATGTTGGCCAGGATGGTCTCGATCTCTTGACCTCGTGATCTGCCCGCCTTGGCCTCCCAAAGTGCTGGGATTACAGGTGTGAGCCACTGTGCCCGGCCTCAGCTTCTTTTTGTAGCTTCTCTCATCTTTGCTCAGTGGGATCAATGACACGGGCTTTCTCTCACCAAGACTGATCTGACTACAGCCACTACTGAAAACCTCACAGAAACAGGTCAGTCTTGATATGGCAGAAGAAGAACACAGAACAGAAGAACAAGAAGTCTTAATATGTTTCCCAGAACAGCTGGCCACCTGACTGTACCCCTTCCATCATGAAACAGGCAGCAATTTTTTCTTATTGCAATAGTTTTACTCTGCATATGGATTTGCCTTTCTTGCCTGCAGTGCTTCTGCTAAAATCTCATCTCAATTTACAGAATGCCTCGTTCCTGTCATAGTATCTCACACTGCATCACTTCTGACTAGAAAACTAATTTTACAGGCAAAGTAACAAGGCAGTGCAACACCCAGATAATTCGCTGGCTCACGTACCCTATCATTCCAAAACAGCTTGCCTCTGTGGATCAGCCTAGTGAAGACTCAAATATGGCACCTGCTGAATGGTACTTTGTTGGCCTGGAGTGCTGTTTTTTGCAGGTTACAATATATTTCAATATATGATGCTATTTTTCCTATAGGTAGAATACACAGGTCTAGGAACTAAAGTTAGTGGCTCTTCTCATGATTACCCTTAATGATCCTGTAACAAATATTTGCTTCTAGTCCTCGCAACATTGGGCCCTATTGCTTTAGAGGTTTTCTATTTCCAAAGAAAGACTGCTTCCATCTGAGAACACAAGGATTCCCATGAAACAGGTAAAAATTATAAAAAGACTTTAAGCTCAAGGAATTCAATGAACATATCTAAACATTCAAATAATATACTACTTATTTGAATTCAATTAACATATCTCAGCATTCAAATGATATACTACTTATTTGAATTCAATTAACATATCTAAACATTCAAATAATATACTACTTATTTGAAGAATATACTAGAATTTAATAGTCACAGTTTTGGCAATTCACTAATAATCCAAAGGTCTACAATATATACTTTATGTGTCTATAGTAATTAGTCTTCCTTCTGGAAAATGGTTTTCAAATGACAGGTAAAACTGTAGTAAATGCAGAAACGGCATTTAACTTGTGGTGAAGTTCATATCAACACAGAACTTTCTAAAGAAATATGATTCCAGAGAGTGCTAAAGTCTGAATAAGCATTTCTGTATGAATTTGGGGATTCCCAAAGGTCTATCTGGATGCATTTATAATTTTCAACATCACTCAGTCCCGGACATCTATAACTACTTTTGGGAGAAGTAATGTAAATGAGCAATTCTAATCCAAGCTAATCTTGAAAGAGAAGTTAGGAGACAATTTTTCTTTCATTCTGAACTTATTTTAAAACACATAAAATTAAAACTATAAATATTAATACGTTTTGTTTCCTGTTTACTTTTTAATTATCATAATGAACAGAATACATATTTCTCTTTAGCCAACTGCCGAACTGGCACTCAAAATATTGAATTCAGCAAACATAAAGGATTACACACGCCAAATAATGAGTAGATATTTAATCAAGGCACTTGGTTAGGTAAGTGAAGACCACCATAGCACAATAAATATAAATAGAAAGGCCCACAGAACTTTTGTTTTTGAGACAGGGTCCCACTCTGTCGCCCAGGCTAGAGTGCAGTGGAGTGATCACAGCTTAGTGCAGCCTTGACCTCCCAAGGCTCAAGTGATCCTCCCACCTCAGCCTCTGGGTCTGCTGGGACTACAGCTGTGTACACCACCATGCCTCGCTAATTTTTTTTTTTCTGTATTTTGTAAAGATGGCGTCTCACCACATTGCCCAGGTTGGAGAACTAGTTTTTTAAACAATTAACAGAAATAAGTTATTTTTCTATGCTGACTTGAAAATGAAGAGCAGAGAAATACTGAATACTTTCTATGCCAGGCGTTGTTGTATTAACTAATTAAACCTCAAAATGATCCCATGAGGCGTTATTATTTATGTCTCTGCTTTATAAAGAAAGAAATGGAAGCAAAACAGGTTAAGTAACTTGTCAACCAAGGTCACACAGCTATTAAGTGCCAAAGTAAGACTAGGACCAGGCCTGCCTGGCTTAAATCATCCTCTTATCCACTTTGCAGTGCGGAGTACATACCAAGGGTTGGGACAAGGGTGAAGTAAGACACTTGTCTTGGGTGCAAAATTAAAGAAGGCACCAAAAAAACCTCAGTGATCAGATAGGCATTTTAATGCAATATTTTAAAAAATTAGAATTAATGCAAAAATCCTATGATAAAATACCAAAATTCTAAATAAAGATGGGATCAGAATTAATTTTCTTTGCGCCTTGAGCTCCTATATGGCTTGTCATTGTTACTAGTTCTGTCTTTATTTAAAATTTTGTGCCTGAGGCAAGAGCCTCCCTCACTTCATTTGCCTCATCCTAGTCTAGGACCCAAACCAAATTTTTCCTTTAAGTCTTGAGCTCCAATCAATGACTGGCTAACCTTATCATAGTATAATAGTAATTATCTGAACTGCTGATACCATCTTTCTGAAACATGCAACAGGCAAAAGCATTCTATATTGAATGAATATTACTGAATATAATTAATATTGAATAGTCAAAGCTTTCATACTTTAAGACGAAAAGAGAAACCCAATTTTGACAACATTCTACGCTCAACTTTAGCCTGCTGTACTATCTCTACCACATTCAGTAATCACATATACATTTAACAAATATTTTTCGAGCACCTACTATGTACCACATCAAAGTTGGTGCTCCAACAATAATGAAATGATTAAGTAGAATTTTTACATAGGAAAAGGGGGAAACAGAACAGCACTTTTTGGTACGTATCTACTTATGGAGTTCTTAATGGGGTACATTTTCTCATTTAATCCTCCTATTATCACTATTTTGTAGATGAGAAAACAGGCTCAGAAAGGTGTATAACTTGTCCAAAATCATCCAACTAGAAAGTGACAGAACTAGATCCAAACCCAGATCTACCTGGTTAAAAAAACCCACTTGCAAGACAATTCAAATTTCTACAAAGACTTCAAAGCAACCTAGAAAACATTTATGACAAGTAGGAAAGTGAAAATATAAAAGTGTTTACTAGATTAAAACCACAAAAAAGTATGTTTGCATGTGGACAAACAGCAAAAGGAAATCATTGCGTAAGTGCAGTTGATAGCAACATTAAAAGAAATTTATACAATACAACAAAGGGTACAGAAAAAAATCAGTTTAAGTCGGATAAAACAAATACCAGTGTCAACTTTGTATTTTTCACTATGTAAAATGAGCAGAAATGAGTTTGATATATGGTATGCTTGATACAGAAATTGAAGACTTTCAAGAAAAGCTTTAGTTATAAGTAATCTGAGCTTCCACATCCTATAAGGTCAATTATTTTGTTATCATCAATACTTCAAACAACAAAATGCTATCATTAAATATGACCTACCCAAATGTATAACTGGAACTAAAACTTGAAATTTACATACATAATTTAGCAAAAGGTCATAGCATGGTCACTAAGTATAATTTAACCAATTATATAGTTTTTGTGTTTTCTTCACCATACTCAGTGACCAGGTACTTTATCCTTTATATTTATGGCTTTCAACTTATTTCTCTACTTAAGAATGTCAAGTTCTGACTAACATTCATTAATGCAAAAACTTGGTAGGAACATGAATTTCAGTAGTTTCTTGAATGTCTCAGGTCTGATCAGTGAAAAGAAACAAAACATCCAGGAGGGATGTTTTAAATTAGAACAAGAAATATTTTACAACAGAGAGAATAGTACTTTTACTAAACATTGGACTTAATTGCAATATGCAGTCACTTGGCCTGAGAACACTAATAAGTATTTGACTTTTTAAAAAATGCAAGAATGTGAAAAAAATAGCAAACTAGCAATAATCCTAGAAAAGTACATGTGTTAAACATCACTATTTCTCCAATTTCTAAGATAGCTGGTGCCTAATAATTGGTTAGAAAAACCTACAAAACTACTCTTGGGTTTTGTCAAATTATTACTGATAGTACAAAGTATTTGCACCTTGAAGAAACAAGCAACATTCTAAAGAAAATCAGTGCTTACTTGATAATCATTTCTCTTAATATTTGGAACATCCATGTTGTGAGTAGAAGGACAAATATCTTCATATTTTTTGCCCGTGAAAATATCAATTCCAACAAGGTGAACCTAACAGAGGAGAACAGGAAACCTGTTTAATCTCTGCCAAGTATATCACTCATTACACACACAAGAGCACAATACCAATGCTGATTACAACAGATTCTTTTTCTCCTCCTTCCAAGGTCATCTAATTTTACTTAAAAAAAAATGTAGTGGTCTTACAATTAAGAGGCAGTAAACAACTAAACAGTATCACGACATGTCAAGACCCAATATAGACCAGTGATTCAATTATGAGATTACACAAGAAAAATAAAGTGTAGATTTCTTAGAATTGCTAGAACAGGTTTTCTCATCTGTAAACTAAATAGATCTTATAGGTCACTAGGATTCAGGAAAGTTTCAGTTCCCAGTTAATGAACATTGTAAGGGCCCAAGAAGGGAATGCTACCTTTAAGTATTCAACGTAATAACTGATTACCCAGTAATTGTGGGAAGGAAAAAATAGTGCTTATTACAAAATTTTAAGTATAGAAATCTCATGATCTGTAACGGAATACAAATGATCAAAGTCCCAACGCCGAAGCCAAAGCCTGATCTGCAAGGGTACTTACCTTGGCATGACCATGCTTTCCAGTTTTGGAAGTTGACATCTCCACTATTTTGCATGGTCGTCCTTTGAGCACCACGAAGCCGTTTTTGCGCAAGGCCGAGCACTGCATAGGGTAAGTGCTGGAAGCCCCGGCATCTCCAGTAGTGAAATCAATTTCGTCTGCCATGGTGGGCAGGGGAGATGGTAGTTTTTCCGTGGGAACTACACAAAAAGTTTGTGTTTGCTTTTTAACAACGGGTATGTAGGCAGGGAAACGTCTCATTTCGGACAAGTTATGTGCCAAGCATCATGGGCCCGTTATTTCTGCATGTAAGGAACACCCACCCTAGACTAGTGGCCACTTTCTAACTCTGGCCTCTACAAACTTTTCCAGCTACTGCTTGGGGAGGTGGGATGAGAAGTCGCAGAGGAGCTCGCTGAGGGTGGGGACACCCGCCCTGGGCGCTCCTCCGTGCTGGAAACAGCAGGTTGCGGCCCCCATCGCCCCACCGCAGAAGCCGGCGACCTTCCCCCGCCGCCCAGCCCTCGGCCGCCGCCCCGAACCCTACTGCGGGGGACCCAGCCCAGGCCGCAGGTCCCCGCGAAGGATGCGGGGTAACAGAACCTGGCCAGCAGCACCCGGCCCTCTGCTAGCTGGCGCGCACCCCGCCCTCCACCCTTCAACGTCGCCGCCGCGGCCGCACAGGCGCCCCCTGTTCTGCCGGCATCCAGGGCTCAGCTCGGCCCGGCCCGGCCCCACTAGGGCCTGAGCCCCGGCGGGTCCCGCGCTCGCCTCTGTTCCCCCATCCATTCTCCTTCTTTCTCTCGGTCAGCGCTCAGTTCTGGGCGCCTTCCCCGGCCCTGCCTCACTCTGGCCCCATCCCCACCAGCTTTTCCCCACCAGCTTTTCCCCAGGTCTTCACCTTTCAGCTGGCAAAGAGCGCCTTTCGTCTGCGCACCCGCGCTGGTCCCCTACAGCAGCGGCGCCGGCAGCGGCGGTGGCGGCCGCGGCAGTTCCAAGAGACGGGGCGGGGCCGCCACACTTTCCACACCCCAGCCTCCCCGCCCTTACCCGCCCCCACTCAGCCCTATTTCCGGGATAGGCCCCGGAGCGTCACAGGCACCGCCCTCTCGGGCTACCATTGGCTACCAGATTCCCGAGGCTCCGCCCAGTCACGTGAAGAGCGCCCTGGCAACCCCACGTGCTGCGGATTAGTGCACTTCCGGCGTGGAGCGCACTTTCAGCAGTCTGGTTGCCGAGGGTGAGCTCGCTGGCAGAGGAACTTGCGCCTTCCAACTCTTAGGTTTGTTGCGTTCGGGTCGCAGTCGACTTTAATGGGAACCAAGCAAAGCACCCAATGGCCCCTGCCATCAGGTGCGTGGCAGTTATCACATGACGATCGTCAGAACTCGCGAGGCGCGCAGATTCAGCGAGTGCCAGTGTGGCTGGCTGTGAAGCGAACTTTGGGTTCGAGCTTCTGGTTCAGCTTGCAGCCTTTCTTGGGGTTCGAACCTCCTCCTGGTCCTTAAAGAAGAATTCAGGTGCAGTATTTTATTACCCAGCTCGGCACCGCAGGTCCTGAGGACCCCCCATTCACCCCTTGGTGAGATTTTTGGCAGCGACTGCCGCCGGATGCCCCTGTAGAGTCAGCACTGCTCCCTGGGGTGGGAACTCCCGAAGCGTCCGCCAGCTAACAAGCCAGCAGTGAAATGAATTAACCCACTTCTCACACCAAAGGCTGTTGGGAAGTTGTGGAGGCGAAGGGTGTCTGACTCCTACGGCATTGTGGGTCCAGAGAGGTGTTCTGCCGACTCATCCATTCTTTCCTCCTGGCATTGGCATTCCTTAGAGTTTGGGGTTTAACCCTGGCACATTAGAACGCTTGGATGGTCTTCAAAATTGACCTAGAGCTTGTAGACTGCCATAGAAAGGTTCTTAAAAGAGATGTGCTCCCCCTTCACAGTTTCATTTCGCAACCTACCGCAGTATCCTATCTTGGGGAGGTGATCTAGGAAATTATTTCCCATCCCACACCCGCATTTATGTGGTAACTTTGATTTCCTATTGCTGTCTCATGAATAATCCCATATCTCACATTCCTGTATGACTCTACAGTTTACACATATCTTTCAAACAGGTCCAATTTAACTTTCGCAATAAGTTACTGCCCTCTCATGTACTGAATTCAGCCTCTAGCTAATATACAAAGGAGCCATTACAGCAGTGGCTCATGCCTGTAATCCCAGCACGTTGGGAGGCTGAGGCAGGTGGGTTCCCTGAGCTCAGGAGTTCGAGATCAGCCTGGGCAGCATCGTGAAACCCCGTCTCTACCAAAAATACGAAAACTTAGCTGGGCATGGTGCTGTGCACCTGTGGTCCCAGCTACTAGGGAGGTTGAGGTGGGAGGATCACTTGAGCCTGGGAGGTGGAGACTGCAGTGAGCCGAGATCCGGCCACTGTACTCCAACCTGGCTGACAGAGTGAGACCACCCCCCCCACCCCCAACACCCCAAAAAGAAAGAGCCAGATTAGAATCTTGGTTCATTAGCTCTTTCTGCTTTTCCTTATACCTCCTAACTTTTCCCTATTGTTTTTACAATGATCGCTAATAGTATTTAGTATTTATATAGGCAGGTAGTGTACTAAATTTTTGATGTGCATTATTCCTTTGTTTGTCACTGCTGCTTTCTATTTTTAACCTTGTTAAGTTATTCATATAAAGAAAAATTTGTCCCTTTTCTTTTTATGAGTTTTGAAAAACATATCTTGATCATCTGCTATGATCAAGATATGGAATATTTCCCTCATTCCAAAAGTTTTCTAGTGGCTTTTTGTTCTCAGTTTCCTCCCTCTACACCCAGCCCCTGGCAAATATTAACAGTACTTTTTTAACCTGCATTTTTAGTTACGGAAAAAGGAGAAAAGCAATTTGCCCCAGATTACAAAGCTAGTAAGTTGGAAAACCAAGGTTGGAACCTAGGCAGTTTGGTTCCAGAGTCACTGCTCTACCTACCACCATATACTGCATTCACAAAAGATTTGGGTTTGGAATCAAATGACTGAGCATTACTCATTCAATAAATACAGTCAGTTCTCCTGAAGTCAGTAAGAACACTGAATTGGCAAATACTAAACCATTGCTCCTAGGGGAAATACAGGGTTAGGTTCCTCTGAGCCTCTGGGCCACAACATTGGTTAATATGTGATTTTTAGTGTGTTTCCATTTAAAGACACCTGATTTCCTATATATTGTTGGTTCATTAACATTAAACTCATGGCCAACAGCAATGTAATTCATACCTGAAGGTAGCTTATCTAACATATGCTCTCTGTAAGGCACACTGTAGCTTTCTTGTGTTTTGGAACATTAGACAGCTCTTCAGCACAGTGCTTGGGGGCCATTTTGAATGGTGAAATCACCAACAAAAAGCACAACAATGCAAAAACTGGCAATAAATAGACTGAAAAGAATACTGGTTAACAGTTTGACGACTGAAACAAGAAGGCAGAGCATGGCTGAGTTTGACCTCAGCTAAATGTGCGTTAGATGGCACGAGTCTCTGTGCATGTTCACAAATGACTTCAAAAGCACTGCAAGTATTGATTTTAAGATTATAAGTAAATTATGTCAAGTATGCAAATTTGCAAATATGGAATCCAAAAATAATGAAGATTGACTATGTGTACTTTAGCAGCCTTACCTCTGGTATTACTGTGTTGACCAAGACAGCCTCTGGTTCCTAAGGTGCTTGCAGTCTATTGCAGAAGACAGTCTAGTAATTTTAAAATATGAAACAAATGCTAGTAAAGAAATAACTATAAGGCACTGAAAAAAGGGGCTTATTTAGGCTAGGTGGTGTCCAATTAAAATATGATACAAGCCACATATAGTTTTGAGTTTTCTTTTAGACACATAAAGTTAAAAAATGAAACTAATTTCAATAGTATATTCTGTTTAACTGAATATGTCCAAAATATTATTTCACATGTAACCAATATAAAAATATTACTAAGATATTTTACTTTTTATCCATACTAAGCCTTCAAAATCTGGTGTATTTTACACTTTCAGTACATCTAAATTCAGACTAGCTATAATTCAAGTGCTCAATAACTAGGCATAGTTGGTGGCTATCATATTGGGCATCATAGGTCTAGAAGGTTCAGGAACTGCTTCTCTCGGGGGATATCAGTTTGAGATTTGAAAGACAAATAGAAGTTAGCAATGGAGAGGAGTTTAGAAAGGGCACTTTAGGCAAAGGAAATGGGGTTACAGAGGTGTATTGTGACAGAATCGTGGCACCATTTGTACTGTAAATGGCGTAGTATGATGGTGTGTACTGTAAAGATGGGTGAATTCGGACTTTCTCCCAAGGGCAATAGAGAAGCATTGAGACAGTACATACAAGAAAATGATAAATTTTTTATTATTTTTAAATTTTTTTAATTAAATTTTTTTTTGAGATGGAGTGTCGCTGTGTTGCTCCAGGCTGGAGTGCAGTGGTGTGATCTCGGCTCATTGCAACCTCCACCTCCCAGGTTCAAGCCATTCTCCTGCCTCAGCCTCCCGAGTAGCTGGGAGTATAGGTGCCTGCCACTACGCCTGGCTAATTTTTTTTTTTTTATGTATTTTTAGTAGAAACGGGGTTTCACCATGTTAGCCAGAATGGTCTTAATCTCCTGACCTTATGATCTGCCTGCCTCAGCCTCCCAAAGTGCTGGGATTACAGGTGTAAGCCACTGTGCCTGGCCTTTTTTTTTTTTTTTTTTTAATTTAGACTATTCTAGTTGTGATATGGAGTATTTTTTAGGAGGAGAAAATATTGGAAGTAGGAAATCAATTAGACATAATAATGTTGAACAAACATGATGAATGAGAAGATTGCAGAGTTATAAGGGAAAATGGAAAAAATGTCATAATTAATTGAATGTTAAGGGTCAAAATGGGGAGGCACAGAGTACGAAGAACAGAAAAGAGTCAAATTAAGACTCAACAGTTTATGGTGTAAAAATCTGGGTGAATGGTGGTGAATTTTCATTGAGATAGAAAATAGAGGAGAAACAGTTTGTGAGGAAAGTCGAGTTCACTTTTGGGCAGATCAAGTTTAAGGTTCCTATGGGAAAGGGAACTATCTGAAGTAGAGATACATGTTTATGAATCAGTATATAGGTGATGATTAAAGCTATGAAAGTGGAATATTTAGAGGAAGAATGCGCAATGAAAAAAGAGGAGTGAAAAATAGAGCCCTGTGCTATTTAAAGGATCACCAGTGGAAGAGGAGAATGAGAAAGAACATTGTATTTCTTAGGGTTTTTTGGTTACAAGCGACAGAAAACAGTTCCTACCAATTTAAGTAAAAAGCACGTCTTTATAGGAATGATATGGAATAACTACAGGTTTGAAAGGAAGCCTGAAAGGACAGAAACTGTGCAACTTTAGAGTTTCTGTAGCAAGAACCATTGTATAGTCTCATCTGATGCTGTTAGAATTAACAACCTACAAGTGTTAATACAAAGTCTAAGAGTTAAAGTTCTGGAAGATGAAATTCTGGTTGCTCTAGCGTTCATTTCCTGTCCACCCCTTGACAAGGCGCCTTGCTCCAATAGTCCTGTTTCTACCTCTTGCAAACCAAAAGTATCTGGGACAGATCTCAATCAATTTAGAAAGTTTATTTTGCCAAGGTTAAGGATGCACCTGTGATACAGCTTCAGGCGGTCCTAATGACATGTAACCAAGGTGGTCAAGGTACAGCTTGATTTTATACATTTTTTTTTTTTTTGAGATGGAGTCTCACTCTGTCGCTCAGGCTGGAGTGCAGTGGCACGATCTGGGCTCACTGCAAGCTCCGCCTCCCGGGTTCACGCCA
This sequence comes from Homo sapiens, assembly GCF_000001405.40. Classification (NCBI taxonomy): domain Eukaryota; kingdom Metazoa; phylum Chordata; class Mammalia; order Primates; family Hominidae; genus Homo; species Homo sapiens. Next base: position 170,913,488 of record NC_000003.12, read on the forward strand.
TTCTCCTGCCTCAGCCTCCCCAGTAGCTGGGACTACAGGCGCTTGCCACCATGCCTGGCTAATTTTTTTGTACTTTTAGTAGAGACGGGGTTTCACCATGTTAGCCAGGATGGTCTCGATCTCCTGACCTTGTAATCCACCCGCCTCGGCCTCCCAAAGTGCTGGGATTACAGGCGTGAGCCACCGCGCCCTGCTGATTTTATACATTTTTGGGAGACTTGAAATGTCAGTCAATACATGTAAGTCGTACATTGTTTCAGTCTGAAAAGACAGGACAGCTCAAAGTCGGGTGGGGTTGGTGGTGGGGTGGGGCTTCCAGGTCATAGGTAGATAAAAGACAAATGGTTGCATTCTTCTGAGTCTTTAATCAACCTTTCACTGAGTACACAATTTACATGTGAGAGGAGTTTAGAGGAATAGTTATTTATGCCTTAGAGTGGCTCAGTGAATCTTCGTTTTTACATGAACAGTAGGGCCTAGGAAGCAATCAGATAAGTATTTGTCTCAGTTGAGCAGAGGGATGACTTTAAGTTCTGTTTTTTGTCCCTCACCTGTGAGGATAAGCTATCAATTTACTTTGCCAGGGTGAAAATCAGCAGAACTGTTTTAGGGTAAAGATCATGAGGTCCACGAGGAATTTTCTTGGGGGCAAATTGTGAGGGAGGTTTGTAGCTTTTTTATCTTTGTAGCTATCTTATTTAGGAATAAAATGGGAAGCAGGTTTGCCTGATGCAGTTTCCAGCTTGACTTTTCCCTTTCGCTTGGTGAGATTTATTTTCCTTTCACACTCTGCTTTATATAAAGGAGGTTCGACCATGTTGACTTCTTTTTAAATGGAATAGCACTGGATTTAGAATAGCATTAACCAAACCAGCAAACTGTCTGACATAGCTGCACAAAAATACAATGACACATATACCTACATCAGCAAATTAAGCCTGATTTAATTTTATTGATCTGATCTCTACGGTTGAGCACCCTCCGTTTCTAAAATAATTTTAGTATTTTTGACCGTATAAATCAACAAATGCCTGTAACTCATTTTGTGGCCAAACTTTCACTGTCAGGTAGTTTAATTTCAATTTCAGGTAGTTTAATTTGACTTTCAGTCTCCAAATTGGGATTGGATCCTGGCCTAAGTAACAATGAAGGGTGGAGCATAAGGGAATTAATGGCTTCCTCCTCAAGGGAGTGACAGTTTCCTCAGGCAAGGCAGATACAGTTGTTTACAAGAAACACTCCTTGTCAGATTATGTGTTGTTGATAGCGTTTACAGAGGATTTGGAGGTTTGGAGTACTTCACCTTAGAAGTTGAAGTACATAGATGTCCCCATTTTCCTTGTAGAGCTTTCCCTTATCAGTTGCCTAATGTTTACAAATGAGACCAGCAATGCACAGATTCAAACTCTTAAATTTGTTTCAAAGAAATCTTAGCCTATGAGTCAGTATTTTTTTCTTGTTCTAAGATGAAATTTAGGGAACACATTTCTCATGGTTTAAGTTACCCAATCCTGTCTGAAGTAGTCAGCTCACCCCCAAAGTCCTAAAACTTTTCTCATCCTTTAAACTCTTTAAATTGTTGAGTGGCAGCAGTTACCAGTTTCATTCAGTTAGAGCTTCATTTTCAGTGGCCATGCAGCCTAAGAGATAATTTGTTGAGCGGTTTCACCACTGCATAACATAGACTACTATGTTCTGCTTTTGTAATTTGAACTTAGAATTAACGATCTTCTATCCCATCTTGGCTCTATCCAATTCTTAATAACCATATTTGCAGGATAATGTATGGGCTACAACTCTCTGGTAGATTAGTTAGGGTTCTTGGTTGCAAGCAAAAGAAACAAATTTTTAAAAAGTTAAGCAAAAAGGGAATTTTACGAAATAGTATGAAGGAGCTGCCACAATTGAGAGAAAGAAGGAAAAACTATGTAGAAAGGAATCAAGCAGCTCTGGGCATCTCGACAGCAAATATGGCTCTCTCATTGAAACAAAGAAGTTCAAATCGTTTGAGATGATACAGTTGTTTCCTTAGTGGGTGAATGTGTTTTAACTTCGGGAAGGTTAAGAGTTATGTATAGAAATAAAGAAATAGGGTACTCTCAGGGGTTTGATGGTACAAATTTGATTTTTAATTATATGTAATATTAAAGATAATTTAGCATATTCAAGTGACGGTAAGCCTTGAGATTCCAAATTTTAAAATGTATAATTGGGTGATTGGGTTAAACTTGTGGTTTTAAATTGAAGTCTTTCTAAGTGCTGTAGTTTGAATGTTCCCTCCAAAACTCATGTTGAAACTTAATCTGCAATGGGACAGTATTAAGAGGTGAGGCTTTTAAGAGGTGATTGGGTCCTGAGGGCAGAAAGATGGATTAATGGGTTAATAGATTAATGGGTTGTCACTGGAGTGGGTTAGTTATCACAGAGTGAATCTGTTATAAAAGTCAGTTTGGCATGCTCTTTTCCTTTCCATGTGATGCCCTCTACCATGTTATGACACAACAAGAAGGTCCTCACCAGAAGCTAACTGAATGGCAACACCATACCTTTGGAATTCCCAGAATCCAGAATTGTAAGAAATAAATTAATTTTCTTTTAAAAAAAACCCAGTCTCAGGTATTCTGGTATAGCAACAAAAAAACAGACTAAAGACACTAAGTTTTAAAATAATATTGTAACATTTAGAAGATCTTAAGACTCGCCACATTTATGAATTAAATTTATTGTATTTATAAGAGCTGCATTTATACTTGGGAAGGTCTTATTTATTTACCAGACTATTGAGGTACTTTTAAAAAAAGCAATGTATTGAACTTCTAAATACAATATGTACTGTTTAAGAGTGTTTAGGTTTGTAATTGGGACCAAGCATTCACTAAAAGCTCACTTAAAATTGATTAAACTTATGTGCTATATTTGTAAGTAGAATGATGAGATTTATAAGTTGAATTTAAGGAAGTCTCCAGAGGGAAATGTAAATCTATTAGAAGGTAGGAAGAACACCTGAAATGGTAAATATATGGGTAAATATAAAATATTATATATTTTTCTTCTAATTTTTTTAAGTCATATGATTGTTTAAAAAGCTATAACAATACTGTAATCTGGGGTTTATTACATATGTAGATGTAATGCATATGATAACTAGCACAAAAAATGAGAGGTAAGTGAAAGTATATTGTTGCAAGGTTTTTAGATTTCATGTGAAGTTTTCTAATACTGCCTCTAAATAGACTAAAATTAGATAACAATGCATACTATAGTTCTTAGAATAACCATTAAAAGCAATATAAAGAGGAATCACTAAAAAACAAATGAAATAATTAAAATGGAATTCTAAACAATGTTAGATTTACCACCCCCACCTACAAAAAAAAGCAGGAAAGTATAAACAAAGAAACAAATCAGATGGGGTAAATAGAAAACAAATAACAAATTGATAAATTTAGCCATATCCATAATTACATTAAATATAAATGGATTAAACACTCAAAAGATTGAGATTGTCAAACTAGAGACCACATAAAAGACCCAACTATATGCCATCTATGAGAAACACTTTATAAAGCGTTTTTAAATATAAAATTTCTTGAAAAATACAACATACCAAAATGGACACAAGGTGAAACAAAATCTTAATATTTATTTATCTATTTGAGATGGAGCCTTGTTTTGTCATCCAGGCTGGAGTGCAGTGGCGCGACCTCAGCCCACTGCACCTTCTGCCTCCTGGGTTCAAGCAATAGCCTTGCCTCAGTCTGCTGAGTAGCTGGGATTATAGGTGCCTGCCACCACGCCCTGCTAATTTTGTGTGTGTGTGTGTGTGTGTGTGTGTGTGTGTATACACACATATATATACACACATATATACACACACATATATACACACATATATATACACATATATATACATATATACACACACACACACACACACACACACACACACACACATATATATATATATATAATTTTTTTTTTTTTTTTTTTTAGTGGAGACAGGATTTCACCACGTTGTCCAGGCTGGTCTCAAACTCCTGACCTCAAGTGATCCACTTACGTCGGCCTACCAAAGTTCTGAGATATGTATGGGGAGGGGTCTAACCTCCTTCTCCTCCTTCTTTGACAGAGTTAACAGCTTTTGTCGGGAAACCTGGAAAGCCCAGGTATCTAAAACTAAAGCTTCCTAAGTGAAGGAGAAATAAGATCCTTTCCAGATAAGCAAATGTTGAGGGGGTTTGTTACCACCAGAGCTGCCTTAAGATCTCTTGAGATCTTGAAAGGATCAGTAAATACAGAAAGGAAAGACCACTACCAGCTAAAACAAAAACACACTTAAATACGCAGAGCAGTGACACTATACAGCACCCACACAAACAAGCAAGCACAATAATCAGCTAACAGCACAATGACAGGATCAAATCCACACATATCAATACTAACTGATATGGTTTGGCTGTGTCTCCACCCAAGTCTCATCTTGAATTGTAGTTCCCATAATCTCCACGTGTTATGGGAGGGACCCGATGGCAGGTAATTAAATCATGGGGGTGAGTTTTTCTTTCGCTGTTCTCATGATAGTGAACAACTCTCATGTTTTTATAAAGGGCAAATCCCCTGCACATGCTCTCTTGCCTGCCACCATGTAAGATGTGCCTTTGTTCCTCCTTCCCCTTCCACCATGATTGTGAGGCCTCCTCAAACATGTGAAACTGTGAGTCCCTTAAACCTCTTTTTCTTTATGAATTACCCACTCTCAGGTATGCCTTTATTAGCAGTGTGAGAACAGACTAATACGGTAAATTGTTATCAGTAGAGGCGGGTGCTGTTATAAGGATACCTGAAAATGTGGAAGTGACTTTGGAACTGGGTAACAGGCAGAGGCTGGGGCAGTTTGGAGGGCTCAGAAAAAGATAGGGAAATGTAGGAAAGTTTGGAACTTCCTAGAGACTTGTTGAATGGCCTTGACCAAAATGCTGATAGTGATATGGACAATAAAGTCCAGACTTAGGTGGTTTCAGATGGAGATGAGGAACTTGTTGGGAACTGGAGCAAAGGTGACTCTTATTATGCTTTAGCAAAGAGATTGGCAGCATTTTGCCCCTGCCCTAGAGATCTATGGAACTCTGAACCTGAGAGAGATGATTTAGAGTATCTGGAGGAAGAAATTTCTAAACGGCAAAGGGTTCATCAGGAAGCAGAGCATAAAAGTTTGAAAAATTTGCTGCCTGATGATACAGTAGAAAGAAAAACCTACTTTCTGGGGAGAAATTCAAGCCCACTGCAGAAATTTGCATGAGTAATGAGGAGCTGAATGTTAATCATCAAGACAATAGGGAAAATGTCTCCAGGGCATGTCAGAGACCTTCGTGGCAGTCCCTTTCATCACAGGCCCAGATGCCTAGGAGGAAAAAATGGTTTCATGTGCTGGGCCCAGGGACCCCCTGCTGTGTGCAGTCTGGGGACTTGGGATGTCCTGAATCCTAGCCACTCCAGCTGTGGTTAAAAGGGGCCAAGGTACAACTTGATCCGTGACTTGACAACGGTGCAAGCCCCAAGTCTTGGCAGCTTCCACGTGGTGTTGAGCCTGTGGGTGCACAGAGGTCAACAATTGAGGTTTGGGAACCTCTGCCTATATTTCAGAGGATGTATGGAACGTCCGGGCAGAAGTTTGCTGCAGGGACGGATCCCTCATGGAGAAACTCTGCTAGGGCAGTGTGGAAGGGAAATGTGGGGTCAGAGCCTCCACACAGAGTCCCCACTGGGGCACTGCCTAGAGGAGCTATGAGGCCACCATCCTGCAGACCCCAGAATGGTAGATCCACCAACAGCTTGCACCATGTGCGTGGAAAAGCCATGGGCACTCAACACTAGCCCATGAAAGCAGCCAGGATGGGGGTCTGTACCCTGCAATACTACAGGAGTGGAACTGCCCAAGGCCTTGGGAACTCACCTCTTGCATCAGTGTGACTTGGATGTGAGACATGGAGTCAAAGGAGATCATTTTGGAGCTTTAAGATTTGACTGCCCTGCTGGATTTTGGACTTGCGTGGGGCCTGTAGCCCCTTTGTTTTGGCCAATTTCTCCCATTTGGAATGGGTTTATTTACCCAATGCCTGTACCCTCATTGTATCTAGGAAGTAACTAACTTGCTTTTGATTTTGCGGGCTCATAGGCAGAAGGGACTTGCCTTGTCTCAGATGAGACTTTGAACTTGGATTTTTGGGTTAATGCTAGAATGGGCTAAGACTTTGGGGGACTGTTGGAAAGGCATGATTGGTTTTGAAATGTGAGGACTTGAGATTTGGGAGGGGCCAGGGTTGGATTGCTATGGTTTGGCTCTGTGTCCCCACCCAAATCTTGTCTTCAGTTGTAGCTCCCATAATCCCCATGTGTCATGAGAGGGACTCTGTGGGATGTAATTAAATCATGGGGGTAGGTTTTTCTTGTGCTGTTCTCATGATAGTGAATAAGTCTCATGACACCTAATGATATTATAAAGGGGAGTTCCCCTGCACACGCTCTTTCCTGCTGCCATGAAAGATGTGCCTTTGCTCCTCCTTCACCTTCCACCATGATTGTGAGGCCTCCCCAGCCACATGGAATGGTGAGTCCATTAAACCTCTTTTTCTTTATAAATTACCCAGTCTCTGGTATGTCTTTATTAATAGTGTGATAACAGGCTCTTAGACTAACCTTGAATGTAACCAGGCTAAATGCCCCACTTAAAAGGTACAGAGTGGCAAGCTGAATAAAAAAAGCAAGACCCAATGGTATGCTGTCTTCAGAGACCCATCTCATATGTAATGACACCCATAGGCTCAAGATAAAGGGATGGAGGAAAATATACCAAGCAAATGGGAAACAGAAAAAAGCAAGGGTTGCAATCCTAATTTCAGACAAGACAGAGTTTAAACCAACAAAGATAAAAAAATATATAAAGAAGGGCATTACATAATGGGAAAGTGTTAAATTCCACAAGAAGACCTAACTATCCTAAATATATATGTACCAAACACAGGAGCACCCAGATTCATAAAGCAAGTTCTTAGAGACCTAGAAAGAGACATAGACTTCAACACAATAATAGTGGGAGATTTAAACACTCCACTGACAGTATTAGATCATCCAGGCAGAAAATTAACCAAGATATTCAGGACCTGAACTCAACATTGAACCAAAGAGATCTGATAGACCTCTACAGAACTCTTCACCCCAAAGCAGCAGAATATATATTCTTCTCATCAGCATATGGCACATACTCTAAAATCGACCATATAATTGTACATACAACAATCCTCAGCAAATACAAAAGAACCAAAATCATACCAAACAGTCTCAGTCCACAGTGCAATAAAAATAGAAGTCAAGACTAAGAAAATCACTCAAAACCATGCAGTTACATGGAAATTAAACAACATGCTCCTGAATGACTTTTGGATAAATAACAAAATTAAGGCAGAAATCAAGAAGTTCTTTGAAACTAACGAGAACAAAGATACAACATACCAGAATCTCTGGGAAACAGCTAAGGCAGTGTTAAGAAGGAAATTTATAGCACCACATGTCCACATCAAAAAGTTGGAAAGATCTCAAATTAACAACCTAACATCACAACTGAAAGAATTAGAGAAGGAAGAGCAAATCAATTCCCAAGGCAGTAGAAGATAAGAAATAACCAAAACCAGAGCTAAACTGAAGGAAATCAGTACACCAATAACCATTCAAAAGATCAACAAATCCAGGTGTTTGTTTTTTGAAAAAGTTAATAAGATAGGCTCAAGCTATAAAGAAGAAAAAGAAAAGATCCAAATATACACAATTAAAAATGACAAAGGGAATGTTACCACTGACTCCACAGAAATAAAAATAACCATCAGAAACTACTATGAACACCTCTATGCACACAGACTACAAAACCTAGACTGAACCAGGAAGAAATTGATTCCCTGACGAGACCAATAATGAACTCCAGAACTGAATCTGTAATAAATAGCCTACCAACCAAAAAAAGCCCAGGACCAGATGGATATACAGCCAGATTCTATCAGATGTACAATGAAGAGTTGATACCATTCCTACTGAAACTATTCCAAAAAACTGAGGAGGAGGGACTCCTCCCCAACTCATTCTATGAGGCTAGGATCATTCTAATACCAAAACCTGGCAGAGACACAACAAAAAAGAACTTCAGGCCAATATCTTTGATGAACATTGATGCAAAAATCCTCAACAATATACTTGTAAACTAAATCCAGGAGCAAATCAAAAAGCTAATCCACCATGATCAAGTAGGCTTCATTCCCAGGATGCAAGATTAGTTCAACATACACAAATCAATAAATGTGATTCATCACATAAACAGAAGTAAAGACCAAAACCATATGACTGTCTCAATAGATACAGAAAAGGCTTTTGATAAAATTCAACACTGCTTCATGTTAAAAACGCTCAATAAACTAAGCGTTGAAGGAACATACCTCAAAATAAGAGCTATCTATGAAAACCCACAGCCAGCATCATAATGCATAGGCAAAACCTAGAAGCACTCACCTTTAAAACCAGCACAAGACAAAGATGCCCTCTGTCACCACTCCTATTCAATATAGTATTGGAATTCCTAGCCAGAGCAATCAGGCAAGAAAAGAAATAAAGGGCATCCAAATTGGAAGACAGGAAGTCAATCTATCCCTGTTTGTAGATGACATGATTCCATAGCTAGGAAACCCCATAGTCTTGGTCCAAAAGCTCCTTGATCTGATAAACAATTTCAGTAAAGCTTCAGGATACAAAATCATTGTTCAAAAATCACTAGAATTTCTATACACCAACAACAGTCAAGCCGAGAGCCAAAATCAGGAAGGCAATCCTATTCACAATGGCCTCGAAAAGAGTAAAATACCTAGGAATACAGCCAACTAGGGAGGCAAAAGAGCTCTACAAGGAGAACTACAAAACACTGCTCAAAGAAATCAGAGAAGACAGAAACAAACGGAACAACATCCCATGCTAATGGATAGCAAGAATAAACATCAAAATGGCCAGACTGCCTAAAACAGTCTGCAGACTCAGTGCTATTCCTATCAAAATACCAATGACATTCTTCACAGAACTTGAAAATATTTTAAAATTCATATGGAACCAAAAAAGAGCCCGGATAGCCAAGGTAATCCTATGGAAAAAGAACAAAGCTGTAGGCATCACGCTACCCAACTTCAAACTATACTACAGGGCTACAGTAACCAAAACAGCATGGTACTGATACAGAAACAAGCACATAGACCAATGGAACAGCCTAGAGAGCACAGAAATAAGTTGCACACCTATTACTATCTGATCTTCGACAAAGCTGACAAAAACAAGCAATGGTGATAAGACTCCCTATTTAATTAATGGAGCTGGGATAACTGGCTAGCCATATGTGGAAGATTGAAGCTGGACCCCTTACCCCTTATACCATATACAAGAATCAACTCGCTCTCCCTCTCCCTCTACCTCTCCCTCTCTCCGTCTCCCCACGGTCTCCCTCTCCCTCTCTCTCCACGGTCTCCCTCTGATGCCGAGCCGAAGCTGAACTGTACTGCTGCCATCTCGGCTCACTGCAACCTCCCTGCCTGATTCTCCTGCCTCAGCCTGCCGAGTGCCTGGGATTGCAGGCGCGCCCCGCCACGCCTGACTGGTTTTCATATTTTTTTGGTGGAGACGGGGTTTTGCTGTGTTGGCTGGGCTGGTCTCCAGCTCCTAACCGCGAGTGATCTGCCAGCCTCGGCCTCCTGAGTGCCGGGATTGCAGATGGAGTCTCGTTCACTCAGTGCTCAGTGTTGCCCAGGCTGGAGTGCAGTGGCATGATCTCAGCTCGCTACAACCTCCACCTCCCAGCCGCCTGCCTTGGCCTCCCAAAGTGCCGAGATTGCAGCCTCAGCCCGGCTGCCACCCCGTCTGGGAAGTGAGGAGCGTCTCTGCCTGGCTGCCCATCATCTGGGATGTGAGGAGCCCCTCTGCCCGGCTGCCCAGTCTGGGAAGTGAGGAGCGCCTCTTCCTGGCCGCCATCCCGTCTAGGAAGTGAGCGTCTCTACCCAGCCACCCATCGTCTGAGATGTGGGGAGCGCCTCTGCCCCGCTGCCCCGTCTGGGATGTGAGGAGCACCTCTGCCCGGCTGCGACCCCATCTGGGAGGTGAGGAGCGTCTCTGCCCGGCCACCCCGTCTGAGAAGTGAGGAGCCCCTCCACCCGGCAGCCGCCCCGTCTGAGAAGTGAGGAGCCCCTCCACCCGGCAGCCACCCCGTCAGGGAAGTGAGGAGCATCTCCGCCTGGCAGCCGCCCCATCTGACAAGCCGCCCCATCCGGGAGGGAGGTGGGGGGCAGCCCCCGCCCGGCCAGCCGCCCCGTCCGGGAGGGAGGTGGGGGGCAGCCCATGCCCAGCCAGCAGCCCCGTCCGGGAGGTGGGGGCTGCCTCTGCCCGGCTGCCCCTTCTGGGAAGTGAGGAGCCCCTCTGCCCGGCCGCCACCCCATCTGGGAGGTGTACCCAACAGCTCATTGAGAATGGGCCATGATGACGATGGCAGTTTTGTCGAATAGAAAAGGGGGAAATGTGGGGAAAAAATAGAGAAATCAGATTGTTGCTGTGTCTGTGTAGAAAGAAGTAGACATAGGAGACTCCATTTTGTTCTGTACTAAGAAAAATTCTTCTGCCTTGGGATGCTGTTAATCTATAACCTTACCCCCAACCCTGTGCTCTCTGAAACATGTGCTGTGTCCACTCAGGGTTAAATGGATTAAGGGTGGTGCAAGATGTGCTTTGTTAAACAGGTACTTGAAGGCAGCATGCTCGTTAAGTGTCATCACCACTCCCTAATCTCAAGTACCCAGGGACACAAACACTGTGGAAAGCCTCAGGGTCCTCTGCCTAGGAAAACCAGAGACCCTTGTTCAATTGTTTATCTGCTGACCTTCCCTCCACTATTGTCCTATGACCCTGCCAAATCCCCCTCTGCGAGAAACACCCAAGAATGATCAATAAATACTAAAAAAAAAAAAAAAAAAAAAAAAAGAATCAACTCAAGATGGATTAAAGACCTAAATGTAAAACCTAAAACTATAGAAACCCTGGAAGACAACCTAGGCGGTATCATCCTAGACATAGGAATGGAGAAAAATTTCCTGAAGAAGACACCAAGAGCAGTTGCAACAAAAGCAAAAATTGAAAAATGAGCTCTAATTTAACTGAAGAGCTTTTGACAGCAAAACAAACAAACAAACAAAAAAACTATCAACAGAGTAAACAGCCTGTAGAATGGGAGAAAATATTTGCAAACTATGCATCTGACAAAGGTCTAATACCAAGCATCTATAACAAACTTAAACAAATTTACAAATGAAAAGCAAACAACCTCATTAAAAATTGGGGGAAGGACATGAACAGACACTTTTTTATTTTATTTTATTTTATTTTATTTTATTATTATTATACTTTAAGTTTTAGGATACATATGCACAATGTGCAGGTTAGTTACATATGTATACATGTGCCATGCTGGTGTGCTGCACCCATTAACTCGTCATTTAGCATTAGGTATATCTCCTAAAGCTATCCCTCCCCCCTCCCCCCACCCCACAACAGTCTCCAGAATGTGATGTTCCCCTTCCTGTGTCCATGTGTTCTCATTATTCAATTCCCACCTATGAATGAGAATATGCGGTGTTTGGTTTTTTGTTCTTGCGATAGTTTACTGAGAATGATTATTTCCAATTTCATCCATGTCCCTACAAAGGACATGAACTCATCCTTTTTTATGGCTGCATAGTATTCCATGGTGTATATGTGCCACATTTTCTTAATCCAGTCTATCATTGTTGGACATTTGGGTTGATTCCAAGTCTTTGCTATTGTGAATAGTGCTGCAATAAACATACGTGTGCATGTGTCTTTATAGCAGCATGATTTACAATCCTTTGGGTATATACCCAGTAATGGGATGGCTGGGTGAAATGGTATTTCTAGTTCTAGATCCCTGAGGAATCACCACACTGACTTCCACAATGGTTGAACTAGTTTACAGTCCCACCAACAGTGTAAAAGTGTTCCTACTTCTCCACATCCTCTCCAGCGCCTGTTGTTTCCTGACTTTTTAATGATTGCCATTCTAAGTGGTGTGAGATGGTATCTCATTGTGGTTTTGATTTGCGTTTCTCTGATGGCCAGTGATGGTGAGCATTTTTTCATGTGTTTTTTGGCTGCATAAATGTCTTCTTTTGAGAAGTGTCTGTTCATGTCCTTCACCCACTTTTTGATGGGGTTGTTTGTTTTTTTCTTGTAAATTTGTTTGAGTTCATTGTAGATGAACTTTGTCAGATGAGTAGGTTGCAAAAATTTTCTCCCATTCTGTAGGTTACCTGTTCACTCTGATGGTAGGTCCTTTGCTGTGCAGAAGCTCTTGAGTTTAATTAGATCCCATTTGTCAATTTTGGCTTTTGTTGCCATTGCTTTTGGTGTTTTAGACATGAAGTCCTTGTCCATGCCTATGTCCTGAATGGTATTGCCTAGGTTTTCTTCTAGGGTTTTTATGGTTTTAGGTCTAACGTTTAAGTCTTTAATCCATCTTGAATTAATTTTTGTATAAGGTGTAAGGAAGGGATCCAGTTTCAGCTTTCTACATATGGCTAGCCAGTTTTCCCAGCACCATTTATTAAATAGGGAATCCTTTCCCCATTGCTTGTTTTTGTCAGGTTTGTCAAAGATCAGATAGTTGTAGATATGTGGCGTTATTTCTGAGGGCTCTGTTCTGTTCCATTGATCTATATCTCTGTTTTGGTACCAGTACCATGCTGTTTTGGTTACTGTAGCCTTGTAGTATAGTTTGAAGTCAGGTAGCATGATGCCTCCAGCTTTGTTCTTTTGGCTTAGGATTGACTTGGTGATGCGGGCTCTTTTTTGGTTCCATGTGAAGTTTAAAGTAGTTTTTTCCAGTTATGTGAAGAAGGTCGTTTGTAGCTTGATGGGGATGGCATTGAATCTATAAATTACCTTGGGCAGTATGGCCATTTTCGTGATATTGATTCTTCCTACCCATGAGCATGGAATGTTCTTCCATTTGTTTGTATCCTCTTTTATTTCATCGAGGAGTGGTTTGTAGTTCTCCTTGAAGAGGTCCTTCACGTCCCTTGTAAGTTGGATTCCTAGGTATTTTATTCTCTTTGAAGCAATTGTGAATGGGAGTTCACTCATGATTTGGCTCTCTGTTTTTCTCTTATTGGTGTATAAGAATGCTTGTGAGTTTTGTACATTGATTTTGTATCCTGAGACTTTGCTGAAGTTGCTTATCAGCTTAAGGAGATTTTGGACTGAGACAATGGGGCTTTCTAGATGTACAATCATGTCATCTGCAAACAGGGACAATTTGACTTCCTTTTTTCCTAATTGAGTACCCTTTATTTCCTTCTCCTGCCTAATTGCCCTGTCCAGAACTTCCAACACTATGTTGAATAGGAGTGGTGAGAGAGGGCATCCCTGTCTTGTGCCAGTTTTCAAAGGGAATGTTTCCAGTTTTTGCCCATTCAGTATGATATTGGCTGTGGGTTTGTCATAGATAGCTCTTTTTATTTTGAGATATGTCCCATCAATACCTAATTTATTGAGAGTTTTTAGCATGAAGTGTTGTTGAATTTTGTCAAAGGCCTTTTCTGCATCTATTGAGATAATCATGTGGTTTTTGTCTTTGGCTCTGTTTATATGCTGGATTACATTTATTGATTTGCATATATTGAACCAGCCTTGCATCCCAGGGATGAAGCCCACTTGATCATGGTGGATAAGCTTTTTGATGTGCTGCTGGATTCGTTTTGCCAGTATTTTATTGAGGATTTTTGCATCAATGTTCATCAAGGATATTGGTCTAAAATTCTCTTTTTTGGTTGTGTCTCTGCCCGGCTTTGGTATCAGGATGATGCTGGCCTCATAAAATGAGTTAGGGAGGATTCCCTCTTTTTCTATTGATTGGAATAGTTTCAGAAGGAATGGTACCAGTTCCTCCTTGTACCTCTGGTAGAATTCGGCTGTGAATCCATCTGGTCCTGGACTCTTTTTGGTTGGTAAGCTATTGATTATTGCCACAATTTCAGAGCCTGTTATTGGTCTATTCAGAGAGTCAACTTCTTCCTGGTTTAGTCTTGGGAAGGTGTATGTGTCGAGGAATTTATCCATTTTTTGTAGATTTTCTGGTTTATTTGCGTAGAGGTGTTTGTAGTATTCTCTGATGGTAGTTTGTATTTCTGTGGGATCGGTGGTGATATCCCCTTTATCATTTTTTATTGCATCTATATGTTTCTTCTCTCTTTTCTTCTTTATTAGTCTTGCTAGCGGTCTATCAATTTTGTTGATCCTTTCAAAAAACCAGCTCCAGGATTCATTAATTTTTTGAAGGGTTTTTTTGTGTCTCTATTTCCTTCAGTTCTGCTCTGATTTTAGTTATTTCTTGCCTTCTGCTAGCTTTGAATGTGTTTGCTCTTGCTTTTCTAGTTCTTTTAATTGTGATGTTAGGGTGTCAATTTTGGATCTTTCCTGCTTTCTCTTGTGGGCATTTAGTGCTATAAATTTCCCTCTACACACTGCTTTGAATGAGTCCCAGAGATTCTGGTATGTTGTGTCTTTGTTCTCGTTGGTTTCAAAGAACATCTTTATTTCTGCCTTCGTTTTGTTATGTACCCAGTAGTCATTCAGGAGCAGGTTGTTCAGTTTCCATGTAGTTGAGCGGTTTTGAGTGAGTTTCTTAATCCTGAGTTCTAATTTGATTGCACTGTGGTCTGAGAGATAGTTTGTTATAATTTCTGTTCTTTTACATTTGCTGAGGAGAGCTTTACTTCCCAGTATGTGGTCAATTTTGGAATAGGTGTGGTGTGGTGCTGAAAAAAATGTATATTCTGTTGATTTGGGGTGGAGAGTTCTGTAGATGTCTATTAGGTCCGCTTGGTGCAGAGCTGAGTTCAATTCCTGGGTATCTTTGTTAACTTTCTGTCTCGTTGATCTGTCTAATGTTGACAGTGGGGTGTTAAAGTCTCCCATTATTATTGTGTGGGAGTCGAAATCTCTTTGTAGGTCACTCAGGACTTGCTTTATAAATCTGGGTGCTCCTGTATTGGGTGCATATACATTTAGGATAGTTAGCTCTTCTTGTTGAATTGATCCCTTTACCATTATGTAATGGCCTTTTTTGTCTCTTTTGATCTTTGTTGGTTTAAAGTCTGTTTTATCAGAGACTAGGATTGCAACCTCTGCCTTTTTTTGTTTTCCATTTGCTTGGTAGATCTTCCTGCATCCTTTTATTGTGAGCCTATGTGTGTCTCTGCACATGAGATGGGTCTCCTGAATACAGCACACTGATGAATCTTGACTCTTTATCCAATTTGCCAATCTGTGTCTTTTAATTGGAGCATTTAGTCCATTTACATTTAAAGTTAATACTGTTATGTGTGAATTTGATCCTGTCATTATGATGTCAGCTGGTTATTTTGCTCGTTAGTTGATGCAGTTTCTTCCTAGCCTTGATGGTCTTTATAATTTGGCATGATTTTGCAGTGGCTGATACCAATTGTTCTTTTCCATGTTTAGTGCTTCCTTCAGGAGCTGTTTTAGGGCAGGCCTGGTGGTGACAAAATCTCTCAGCATTTGCTTCTCTGTAAAGTATTTTATTTCTCCTTCACTTATGAAGCTTAGTTTGGCTGGATATGAAATTCTGGGTTGAAAAGTCTTTTCTTTAAGATTGTTGAATATTGGCCCCCACTCTCTTCTGGCTTGTAGAGTTTCTGCCAAGAAATCCGCTGTTAGTTTGATGGGCTTCCCTTTGTGGGTAACCCGACCTTTGTTTCTGGCTGCCTTTAACATTTTTTCCTTCATTTCAACTTTGGTGAATCTGACAATTATGTGTCTTGGAGTTGCTGTTCTCATGGAGTATCTTTGTGGCATTCTCTGTATTTCCTGAATCTGAATGTTGGCCTGCCTTGCTAGGTTGGGGAAGTTCTCCTGGATAATATCCTACAGAGTGTTTTCCAACTTGGTTCCATTCTCCCTGTCACTTTCAGGTACACCAATCAGATGTAGATTTGGTCTTTTCACATAGTTCCATATTTCTTGGAGGCTTTGTTCGTTTCTTTTCATTGTTTTTTCTCTAAACTTCCCTTCTCGCTTCATTTCATTCATTTGATCTTCAATCACTGATACCCTTTCTTCTAGTTGATCGCATCAGCTCCTGAGGCTTCTGCATTCTTCACATAGTTCTCAAGCCTTGGGTTTCAGCTCCATCAGCTCCTTTAAGCACTTCTCTGTATTGGTTATTCTAGTTATACATTCTTCTAAATTTTTTTCAAAGTTTTCAACTTCCTTGCCTTTGGTTTGAATTTCCTCCTGTAGCTCGGAGTAATTTGATCATCTGAAGCCTTCTTCTCTCAACTCGTCAAAGTCATTCTCCATCCAGCTTTGTTCCGTTGCTGGTGAGGAGCTGCGTTCCTTTGGAGGAGGAGAGGCACTCTGCTTTTCAGAGTTTCCAGTTTTTCTGCTCTGTTTTTCCCCATCTTTGTGGTTTTGTCTGCTTTTAGTCTTTGATGATGGTGATGTACAGATAGGTTTTTGGTGTGGATGTCCTTTCTGTTTGTTAGTTTTCCTTCTAACAGACAGGACCCTCAGCTGCAGGTCTGTTGGAGTTTGCTAGAGGTCCACTCCAGACCCTGTTTACCTGGGTACCAGCAGCGGTGGCTGCAGAACAGCAGATTTTCGTGAACTGCGAATGCTGCTGGAACAGACACTTTTCAAAGGAAGACATACATGCAGCCAACATACATATGAAAAAAAGCTCAATGTCACCATTTGTTAGAGAAATACAAGTCAAAACCACAATGAGATACCTTGTCACACTAGTCAGAGTGGCGATTACTAAGTAAAAAAATTACAGATGCTGGCAAGGTTGCAGAGAAAAGAGAACACGTATACATTGGTGGGAGTGTAAATTAGTTTAACCTTTGTGGAAAGCAATGTGGTGATTCATGAAAGAGCTAAAAGCAGAACTACCGTTTGACCCAGCAGTCCCATTACTGGATGTATACCCAGAGGAATATAAATCATTCTGCCATAAAGACACATACATACACGTGAATATTCATTGCAGCACTATTCACAAAAGCATGGAATCAATCTAAATGCCCATCAGTGACAGATTGGATAGAGAAAATATGGCACATACACACCGTGGAATACTATGCAGCCTAAAAAAGAATGAGATCATGTCTTTTGTGGGAACATGGATGGAGCTCAAGGCTGTTATCTTTAGCAAACTAATGCAGGAACAGAAATTCGAATACCACATGTTGTCACTTATAAGTGGGAGCTAAATGATGAGAACTCATGAGCACAAAGAAGGGAACAACAGATACTGGTCTATCTGAGATTAGAGGATGGGAGGAGGGAGAAGGGTAGAAAAGTTAACTATTGGGTACTGGGCATCATACCTGGGTGATGAAATAATTTGTACAACAAACCCCTGTGACATGAGTTCACCTGTGTGACAAACCTTCACATGTACACCTGAACCTAAAATAAATGTCTTTTTTTTTAAAGGAACAAAATTAAAAGTGTTTGTGCCTCAAAGGACACCATCAAGAAAGTGAAAAGAAAACCTACTGAAAGGGAGAAAATATTTCTCATATATATACATATCATATCTAATATATAAAATACCTGATAAGGGATTTCTATCTATACTATGTAAAGAACTGTTACAAGGGCCAGGGGCAGTGGCTCACACCTGTAATCCTATCATTTTGGGAGGCCGAGGCAGATGAATCACTTGAGGTCAGGAGTTTGAGACCAGCCTGGCCAACATGGCGAAACCCCGTCTCTAATAAAAACACAAAAATTAGCCAGGAATGGTGGTGCACTCCTATAATCCCAGCTACTCAGGAGGTGGAGGCTGGAGAATCTCTTGAACCCAGGAGGCGGAGGCTGGAGAATCGTTTGAACCCAGGTGGGAGAGATTGCAATATGCCGAGATTGTGCCACTGCACTCCAGCCTGGGTCACAGAGCAAGGCTCCATCTCAAAGAAAAAAAAAAAAAAGAACTGTTTTAAGTCAACAATAAAGACAACCCAATTAAAAAATGGGCAAACAGTTTCAATAAACATTTCTCCAAAGACTACATAGAGATGGCCAATAGGCAAATAAAAAAATGCTTAACATCATTAGTTATTGGGGAATGCATATCAAAACTACAATGAGATACTTCTTTGCACCCAGTAAGATGTCTAAAATGAAAAACACAGACAATATCAAGTGTTGACAAAGATTAAAGAAATTGGAGCTCTCATACATTGTAAAATGGTGCAGCTGCTTTGGAAAAGTTTGTCAGTTTCTCAAAATGTTAAACTTAGAGTCAGCATGTGACCTAGCAATTCTATACCTTGATATATGCCTAAGAAAATTGAGAATGTACGTTTATCAAAAAACTCGTAGGCTGATGTTCATAACAGCATACTCACAATAGTAAAAAAGTGGAAACCACCCAGACATCAACTGATGGATGAATAAATGAAATGTGGTATTCTGTAATGGAATATTCAGCAATAAAAAGGAATGAAGTACTTATATATAGATCAGACTTGAAAAATTGTACAGTGTAAAAGAAACCAGTCACAAAAGGCTGAATCTTCTATAATTCCAGTTAAGTGAAGTGCTCAGAATAGGCAAATCTATAGGTTAGTGGTTGTCAATGCTTGGGTAGAGGGGAGAATTTAGGAGTGACTAGTAATGGTACAAGGTTTTTTTTGGTGATGATAGTTTACTGAAATTAGATAATGTTGATGGTTGCACAATGCTGAATATACTAAAAACCATTGAATTATATTTTAAAACGATGAATTTTATGGTAAGGGAATTATATCAACAAGTTTGTTACTTAAAATACTTTAAAAGGATGAAATTTATAGTAAGGGAATTATATATCAATATATCTGTTACTTAAAAAAGAAGAAAAATAATGATTAATACACCCTCACTCACAATTCTAACATGCCATGGTGGAGGTCTTATTACAAATTTATTCCTTTGTATGCTTTCTATTAAAAATTACATTTTTTTCCATGACTGTCCTACAGAGGAGATAGAAAGATTAATATAATTCACCATATTAACAGAAAAGTGTTTAAAAAATTATAAGATTATCTCTATAGAAAAAGCATTTGACAACACCTAATACCCATTCTTGAGAACAACTCTCAGCAAACTGGGAGTATACAAGAACTTCAATAACGAAATAAAGTGCATTTATGAAAAAAGCCCAACAGTGAACATTACACTTAACAGTAAGAGTTTGAATGCTTTCCCTCCGTTATTTATTTTCTATTGTGACCATAGCAAATTGCCACAGATTTGGTGTCTTTTTTTTGTTTTTATTTATTTATTTTTATTATATTTTAAGTTCTAGGGTACATGTGCACAATGTGCAGGTTCGTTACATATGTATACCTGTGCCATGTTGGTGTGCTGCACCCATTAACTTGTCATTTACATTAGGTATATCTCCTAATGCTATCCCTTCCCCTTCCCCCGACCCCACGACAGGCCCGGGTGTGTGATGTTCCCTACCCTGTGTCCAAATGTTCTCCTTGTTCACTTCCCACCTATGAGTGAGAACATGCAGTGTTTGGTTTTCTGTCCTTGGTCCTTGTGATAGTTTGCTCAGAATGATGGTTTCCAGCTTCAACCGTGTCCCTACAAAGGGCATGAACTCATCCTTTTTTATGGCTGCATAGTATTCCATGGTGTATATGTGCCACATTTTCTTAATCCAGTCTATCACTGATGGACATTTGGGTTGGTTCCAAGTCTTTGCTATTGTGAATAGTGCTGCAATAATCATACATGTGCATGTGTCTTTATAGCAGCATGATTTATAATCCTTTGGATATATACCCAGTAATGGGATGGCTGGGTGAAATGGTATTTTTAGTTCTAGATCCTCAAGGAATTATCAGACTGTCTTCCACAATGGTTGAACTAGTTTACAGTCCCACCAACAGTGTAAAAGTGTTCCTATTTCTCCACATCCTCTCCTGCATCTGTTGTTTCCTGACTTTTTAATGATCGCCATTCTAAGTGGTGTGAGATGGTATCTCATTGTGGTTTTGATTTGCATTTCTCTGATGGCCAGTGATGATGAGCATTTTTTCATGTGTCTTTTGGTTGCATAAATATCTTCTTTTGAGAAGTGTCTGTTCATATCCTTTGCCCACTTTTTGATGGGGTTGTTTGATTTTTTTCTTGTAAATTTGTTTAAGTTCTTTGTAGATTCTGGATATTAGCCCTTTGTCAGATGAGTAGGTTGCGAAAATTTTCTCCCATTTTGTAGGTTGCCTGTTCACTCTGATGGTAGTTTCTTTTGCTGTGCAGAAGCTCTTGAGTTTAATTAGATCCCATTTGTCAGTTTTGGCTTTTGTTGCCCTTGCTTTTGGTGTTTTAGACATGAAGTCCTTGTCCATGCCTATGTCCTGAATGGTATTGCCTAGGTTTTCTTCTAGGGTTTTTATGGTTTTAGGTCTAACATGTAAGTCTTTAATCCATCTTGAATTAATTTTTGTATAAGGTGTAAGGAAGGGATCCAGTTTCAGCTTTCTACATATGGCTAGCCAGTTTTCCCAGCACCATTTATTAAATAGGGAATCCTTTCCCCATTGCTTGTTTTTCTCAGGTTTGTCAAAGATTGGATGGTTGTAGATGTGTGGTATTATTTCTGAGGGCTCTGTTCTGTTCCATTGATCTATATCTCTGTTTTGGTACCAGTACCATGCTGTTTTGGTTACTATAGCCTTGTAGTATAGTTTGAAGTCAGGTAGCGTGATGCTTCTACCTTTGTTCTTCTTGCCCAGGATTGTCTTGGCAATGCAGGCTCTTTTTTGGTTCCATATGAAGTTTAAAGTAGTTTTTTTCCAATTCGGTGAAGAAAGTCATTGGTAGCTTGATGGGGATGGCATTGAATCTATAAATTACCTTAGGCAGTATGGCCATTTTCATGATATTGATTCTTCCTATCCATGAGCATGGAATGTTCTTCCATTTGTTTGTATCCTCTTTTATTTCATTGAGCAGTGGTTTGTAATTATCCTTTAAGAGGTCCTTCACATCCCTTGTAAGTTGGATTCCTAGGTATTTTGTTCTTTTTGAAGCAATTGTGAATGGGAGTTCACTCATGATTTGGCTCTCTGTTTGTCTGTTATTGGTATATAGGAATGCTTGTGATTTTTGCACATTGATTTTGTATCCTGAGACTTTGCTGAAGTTGCTTATCAGCTTAAGGAGATTTTGGGCTGAGACGGGGTTTTTTAAATATACAATCATGTCATCTGCAAACAGAGACAATTTGACTTCCTGTCTTCCTATTTGAATACCCTTTGTTTCTTTCTCTTGGCTGATTGCCCTGGCCAGAATGTCCAATAGTATGTTGAATAGGAGTGGTGAGAGAGGGCATCCTTGTCTTGTGCCGGTTTTCAAAGGGGATGCTTCCAGTTTTTGCACATTTAGTATGATATTGGCTGTGGGTTTACCATAAATAGCTCTTATTAATTTGAGATATGTTCCATTGATACCTAGTTTATTGAGAGTTTTTAGCATGAAGCAGTGTTGAATTTTGTTGAAGGCCTTTTCTGCATTTATTGAGATAATCATGTGGTTTTTGTCACTGGTTCTGTTTATATGATGGATTATGTTTATTGATTTGCATATGTTGAACCAGCCTTGCATCCCAGGGATGAAGCCCACTTGATCACGGTGGATAAGCTTTTGATGTGCTGCTGGATTTGGTTTTCCAGTATTTTATTGAGGATTTTTGCATCAATGTTCATCAGGGGTATTGGTCTAAAATTCTCTTTTTTTTGTTGTGTCTCTGCCAGGCTTTGGTATCAGGATGATGCTGGCCTCATAAAATGGGTTAGGGAGGATTCCCTCTTTTTCTATTGATTGGAATAGTTTCAGAAGGAATGGTACCAGCTCCTCCTTGTACCTCTGGTAGAATTGGGCTGTGAATCCATCTGGTCCTGGAGTTTCTTTGGTTGGTAAGCTATTAATTATTGCCTCAGTTTCAGAGCCTATTATTGGTCTATTCAGGGATTCAGCCTTTTCCTGGTTTAGTCTTGGGAGGGTGTATGTGTCCAGGAATTTATCCATTTCTTCTAGATTTTCTAGTTTATTTTCAAAGAGGTGTTTATAGTATTCTCTGATGGTAGTTTGAATCTCTGTGGGATCGGTGGTGATATCTTCTTTATCATTTTTATTGCGTCTATTTGATTCTTCTCTTTTCTTCTTTATTAGTCTTGCTAGCAGCCTATCTGTTTTGTTGATCTTTTCAAAAAACCAGCTCCTGGATTCATTGATTTTTTGAAGGGTTTTTTTTGTGTCACTTATCTCCTTCAGTTCTGCTCTGATTTTAGTTATTTCTTGCCTTTGGCTAGCTTTTGAATGTGTTTGCTCTTACTTCTCTAGTTCTTTTAATTGTGATGTTAGGGTATCAATTTTGGATCTTTCCTGCTTTCTCTTGTGGGCATTTAGTACTATAAATTTCCCTCTACACACTGCTTTGAATGTGTCCCAGAGATTCTGGTATGTTGTGTCTTTGTTCTCATTGGTTTCAAAGAACATCTTTATTCCTGCCTTCATTTCGTTACGTACCCAGTAGTCATTCAGTAGCAGGTTTTTCAGTTTCCATGTAGTTGAGCAGTTTTGAGTGAGTTTCTTAATCCTGAGTTCTAATTTGATTGCACTGTGGTCTGAGAGACAGTTTGTTATAATTTCTGTTCTTTTACATTTGCTGAGGAGTGCTTTACTTCCAACTCTGTGGTGAATTTTGTAATAAGTGCAATGTGGTGCTAAGAAGGATGTATATTCTGTTGATTTGGGGTGAAGAGTTCTGTAGATGTGTATTAGGTCTGCTTGGTGCAGAGCTGAGTTCATTTCCTGGATATCCTTGTTAACTTTCTGTCTCGTTGATCTGTCTAATGTTGACAGTAGGGTGTTAAAGTCTCCCATTATTATTGTGTGGGAACCTAAGTCTCTTTGTAGGTCTCTAAGGACTTGCTTTATGAACCTGGGTGCTCCTGTATTGGGTGCATATATATTTAGGATAGGTAGCTCTTCTTGCTGCATTGATCCCTTTAACATTATGTAATGGCCTTCTTTGTATTTTCTGATCTTTGTTGGTTTATAATCTCTTTTATCAGAGACTAGGATTGCAACCCCTTTTTTTTGTTTTCCATTTGCTTGGTAGATCTTCCTCCATCCCTTTATTTTGAGCCTATGTGTGTCTCTGCATGCAAGATGGGTCTCCTGAATACAGCACACTGATGGGTCTTGACTCTTTATCCAATTTGCCAGTCTGTGTCTTTTAATTGGAACATTTATCCCATTTACATTTAAAGTTAATACTGTTATGTGTGAATTTGATCTTGTCATTATGATGTTAGCTGGTTGTTTTGCTTGTTAGTTGATGCGTTTTCTTCCTAGCATTGATGGTCTTTACAATTTGGCATGATTTTGCAGTGGCTGATACCGGTTGTTCTTTTCCAAATTTAGTGCTTCCTTCAGGAGCTCTTTTAGGGCAGGCCTGGTGGTGACAAAATCTCTCAGCATTTGCTTGTCTGTAAAGTATTTTATTTCTCCTTCACTTATGAAGCTTAGTTTGGCTGGATATGAAATTCTGGGTTGAAAATTCTTTTCTTTAAGAATGTTGAATATTGGCCCCCACTCTCTTCTGGCTTGTAGAGTTTCTGCCGAGAGATCCACTCTTTGTCTGATGGGCTTCCCTTTGTGGGTAACCCGACCTTTCTCTCTGGCTGCCCTTAACATTTGTTTCCTTCATTTCAACTTTGGTGAATCTGACAATTATGTGTCTTGGAGTTGCTGTTCTCAAGGAGTATCTTTGTGGCGTTCTCTGTATTTCCTGAATCTGAATGTTGGCCTGCCTTGCTAGGTTGGGGAAGTTCTCCTGGATAACATCCTGCAGAGTGTTTTTCAACTTGGTTCCATTCTCCCTGTCACTTTCAGGTACACCAATCAGATGTAGATTTGGTCTTTTCACATAGTTCCATATTTCTTGGGGGCTTTGTTCATTTCTTTTTACTCTTTTTTCTCTAAACTCTCTTCTCACTTCATTTCATTCATTTGATCTTCAATCACTGATACCCTTTCTTCCAGTTGGTCGAATCGGCTACTGAAGCTTGTGCATGCGTCACGTAGTTCTCGTGCCATGGTTTTCAGGTCCATCAGGTCTTTTAAGGTCTTCTCTATGCTGTTTGTTCTAGTTAGCCACTCGTCCAATCTTTTTTCAAGGTTTTTAGCTTCTTTGTGATGGGTTCGAACATCCTCCTTTAGCTCAGAGAAGTCTGTTACTACCAATCTTCTGAAACCTTCTTCTCTCAACTTGTCAAAGTCATTCTCCATTCAGCTTTGTTCTGTTGCTGGTGAGGAGCTGCGTTCCTTTGGAGGAGAAGAGGCACTCTGATTTTTAGAATTTTCAGCTTTTCTCATCTGGTTTCTCCCCATCTTTGTGGTTTTATCTACCTTTGGTCTTTGATGATGGTGACGTACAGATGGGGTTTTTGTGGTGATGTCCTTTCTGTTTGTTAGTTTTCCTTCTAACAGTCAGACCCTCAGCTGCATGTCTGTTGGAGTTTGCTGGAGGTCCACTCCAGACCCTGTTTGCCTAGGTATTACCAGCAGAGGCTGCAGAGCCGCAAATATTGCAGAACGGCAAATGTTGCTGCCTGATCCTTTCTCTGGAAGCTTCGTTTCAGAGGGGCACCCGGCCGTATGAGGTGTCAGTTGGTCCCTACTGGGAGGTGCCTCCCAGTTAGGCTACTCGGGGGTCAGGGACCCACTTGAGGAGGCAGTCTGTCCTTTCTCAGATCTCACACTCTGTTGGGAGAACCGTTACTCTCTTCAAAGCTGTCAGACAGGGATGTTTAAGTCTGCAGAAGTTTCTGCTGCCTTTTGTTCAGCTATGCCCTGCCCCGAGAGGTGGAGTCTACAGAGGCTGGCAGGCCTCCTTCAGCTGTGGTGGCCTCCACCCAGTTCGAGCTTCCCAGCTGCTTGGTTTACCTACTCAAGCCTCAGCAATTGCGGGCGCCCCTCCCCCAGCCTCACTGTCACCTTGCAGTTCGGTCTCAGACTGCTGTGCTTGCAGTGAGCAAGGCTCTGTGGGCATGGGACCCTCTGAGCCGCACGCAGGATATAATCTCCTGGTGTGCCATTTGCTAAGACCATTGGAAAAGCGCACTATTAGGGTGGGAGTGACCTGATTTTCCAGGTGCCATGTGTCATGGCTTCCCTTGGCTAGGAAAGGGAATTCCCTGACCCCTTGCACTTCCTGGGTGAGGCGATGCCTCGCCCTGCTTCGGCTCACGATCTGTGGGCTGCACCCACTGTCCTGCACTCACTGTCCGACAAGCCCCAGTGAGATGAACCCGCTACCTCAGTTGGAAATGCAGAAATCACACGTCTTCTGTGTTGCTCATGCTGGGAGCTGTAGACTGGAGCTGTTCCTATTCAGCCATCTTGGAACCTCCCCTTCAGATGTGGTGTCTTAAAACAATATGCTTTTTTTTTTTTTTTTTGAGGCAGAGTCTAGCTCTGTCATCCAGGCTGGAGTCCAGTGGTATAATCTTGGCTCACTGCAACCTCTGCCTCTCGGGTTCAATTGATTCTCCCGCCTCAGCCTCCCGAGTAGCTGGGATTAACAGGTGTCCGCCACCACATCCAGCTAATTTTTATATTTTTGGTAGAGATGGGGTTTCACTGTGTTGGCTAGGCTGGTCTCGAACTCCTCACCTCGTGATCCTCCTGCCTCGGCCTCTCAAAGTGCTGGGATTATAAGTGTGAGCAACTGCACCCTGCCTAAAACAATATCCATTTTTTTAATCTTACAGTTCTCTACGTCAGAAGCCTGTGTACAGCATCACTCAGTTTGTGCTCTCCTTAGGATTTCAGCAGGACCATCTCAAAATATTGACAGGGCTGTTTTGTGTGTGTGTGTGTGTGTGTTTTCCTGGAGGCTTTACAAATGAATCTACTTCTAAGCTCAGTCAGGTTGTTGGCAGATTCCAATTCCATGCATTTGAGGTACTGGGGTCCCTGTTTCCTTGCTTACTGTCAGCTGAAGATTGTTCTCAGCTTATAGAAACCACTCATATTCCTGTGGCCCCTTTCTCAATCTTCAAAGCCAGCAATGGCAGCTTACATCCTCCTTATACTTTGAATCTTTCTTACCTCCCTTTCTGCATCATCTTTTCTCTGCTACTTCCTCTTCTTCAGCATGTATCTGATTGACTCTTCTGCCTTCTTCTTCTACTCTCAAGGGCTTATGTAATTACATTGGGTCCACTTAGCTAATTCAAAATAATCTCTTTAATTTAAGGTTAGTTTATTAGTAACCTTAAATTTATCTTCAGAGTCTCTACACAGCAGTATCTGGACTAGTATTTGAATAATCAGGGGATGGGAATCTTAGGGCCCATCTTTAGAATTCTGCCTATCATACCCTTTAAGAATAGGAACAAGACAAGGATATTCACCATGACCACTCTTATTCAACATTGTATTGGAGATTTGACCTATTGCAAGAGGCAAGAAAAAAATAAAAGTCTATAGATCAGAAGTAAATACATAAATTGCTTTTATTCATAGATGACATGTTAATCTATGTTGTAAATCACAAGAAATCTATGAAGAGGGGGCTGGAATTAACAAGTAAGTTTTCTGGAATTAATAAGTGAGTATAAGACAGCCAGTAGGAAAATCAATTATATTTCTATATGTTAGCAACAAACAATAAAACATTTGATTTTTTTAATAGAAGGAACCACTTATAATAATAAATATTAATTGAAAGATTATGAACATAAACATGAAATAAAACTTACAGAAGGAAACATAAGGATATATCTTTGCACCATGGGAGAGGGCAAAGAATTTTTAGACAAGTCATAGAAAGGAATAACCATAAAAGAAGACATATGTTAAAATTAATCAAATATAAAACTTTTTTATCAAAATGAGTAGCCAAGCTATACTGGGAGAAAATAAGAAAGAAAATATATATAGCCACCAAGATAACTTTTCAATAGGTGAATGGATAAACCAACTATGGTATATCCATACAATGGAATCTTAGTCAGTGGTAAAAGATGATGTATCAAGCCATGAAAAATGTACAGATGAGCTTTAGATGCATAATGCTAAGTGAAAGAAGCCAGTCTGAAAAGGCTACATACTGCATAATTCTGATTATAAGACTTTTTGGAATAGGCAAAACTAAAGAGTTAGTAAAAGTCAGTTGTTAGCAAGAGTTTAGGGGGACGTAGGGAGAGTTCAATAGTTGAAGTTTAGTTTTAGTTTTAGTTGAATAGTGGAAAGTTTAATAGTTGACTAGTTAAAGTTTAGGTTTGTGAAACTATCCTCTATGATACTGGCATGGTAGATACGTGGCATGCATTTGTCAAAACCCATACAACTTTACAACACTAGTGTGAAACTCAATGTATGCAATTTAAGAAAATCATTTAAGAGATTGGGGTATCCAAGAAGGAATGCATATATGACAAGAGAATCTGTATCACAAATATATAAAACAACCTCAGTAAAGGTGGTGGGGAAGGTGACAACCTAGATAACTATGGAAATGAGTGAAGTCTGTAAGACTAAATACGATAGGAACTGCATATAAGCACTGTACTCTAGTTGATAAAGATGTTTTCCATGAGGATATGGATTAACAATTCTAATACTACTATGTATCTATACTGGAATTGAACAATTAAGTAAATGGATGATGCAGGGTACGAGCCAGTTTTCTCACTGCTGGAGTGAGAATCTACAGATAAGCTGGAAGAGGAGATTAGAATGATCTATGTGGTACTGTATAAGAGTTGGCGACATATGTATGAACTCATGTTTAGCTAAATAGATCTACAGATAGTTGCAAGCAGAAATATTTATAGATACATGTATTGCACAGGTTAGTACACACACACACATATATTCTTGCTCTGTCAGCTAAGACAGCTTAGAAGCAACAATATCCCAGTAGCAATGAGCAAACGTGGTCTCTAGATTCTAGTTTCTAATAACATTCTCTAATAAAAGGAATCAGGACTTGGAGAAATGGCTGATTCCAGAACTGGGGCAGGAAATACTCAAGATTAGCCAAGAACATCCTGTGGTAACAGAATGTAAGGAAGTGCTCAAAACAAACAAAAAACCAAATGACACACCTACCTTTATAAGGATACTTTATAAGAGCACAAAAGCAAACTAAAACAGCTTCCAATGGCCAAAGCTGGAACACTTTGAACAACAAAATAAAGAGCTTGAGGTGCTTAATATCATTCATTATTAGAGAAACTCAAAAGTGAAATCACAATGAAAAAACACTATTGACTCACCAGATGATTAAAATGAAAAGACTGAAAAGATAAAATGTTGATCAAGATACATTAATATTAATATAATTCATACATTGCTGGTGAGATTATAAAATGGTACAACCACTTGGAAAGGTTTGGCAGTTTCTTATACAATGCCAATTTTAGGTATTTACCCAAGAAAAATGAAATTATATATCTATAAATTATATGTGTATAAAAAGGCTTGTACATGAATGTTTACAGCACCTTAACTCATAATAGCCAAAAACTGGAACTAATCCAAATGTCCATCAATATTTATCTTCATTGGATAAACAAACTGTATTGTATTCATAAAATGGAGCACTACTCAGCAATAAAATGCAGCAAACTGACAGCCACAACATGAATGTGTGAAAGAACCCAAACAAAATAATTTATACTGTAATGTACTTTATCTGATGTTCCAGAATAGGCAAAAGTATAGTGAAAAAAAAATCAGAAAAATTGTTTTCTCTGGGTGAGGGGGTGGTGTATGGTCTGGAAAGGGGCATGAGAGTACTCCCTTGGGTGATGGAAATATTCTGTATCTTGACAGGTGTGAATTACTTGAGTGTATACATTTATTAAAAGTCATCAGTTTGTAAAATAAAGATGTGCATTTCACTGTAGTATAGTAAATTTTACCTAAATAAAAAAACTCAGGGAGAAAAAAGCTTAAAAACAAAGGTTTTATATTGGTAATTTTGATAAATTGAACATTTATATTTATTTTATTTTAGATTCAGGGGGTACATATGCAGTTTTATAACATGGATATATTATGTAATAGTGAGGTTTGGGCTTCTAGTGTGCCCATAACCCAAATAGTGAACATTGGACCCAACGCTTAATTTCTCTTTTTTTTTTTTTTGAGACGGAGTTTCGCTCTTGTTGCCCAGGCTGGAGTGCAATGGCACGATCTCGGCTCACTGCAACCTCCGCCTCCCGGGTTGAAGCCATTCTCCTGCCTCAGCCTCCAGAGTAGCTGGGATTACAGGCATGCACCACCACACCTGGCTACTTTTGTATTTTTAGTAGAGACGGGGTTTCTCCATGTTGGTCAGGCTGTTCTCGAACTCCCAACCTCAGGTGATCCACCTGCCTCGGCCTCCCAAAGTGCTGGGATTACAGGCGTGAGCCACCACGCCCTGCCGAACACTTAATTTCTCAACCTTTACCCTCATCTCTCCCTGCCCGCTTTTGGAGTCCCCAGTGTCTATTATATTCATCTTTATATCCAGGTGTACCCATCATTTAGCTCCCACTTATAAGTGAGAACATATATTATTTGGTTTTCTGTTTTTGGGTTATTTTATTTAGGAGGATGACCTCCAGCTCCATCCTCGACTGCAAAGGACATGATTTCATTCTTTTTTTATGGCTGCATAGTATTCCATGGTGTATATTTACCACATTTTCTTTCTCTGCTCATCTGTGGATGGACACTTGGGTTGATTCATGACTTTGTTATTGTGAATAGTGCTGCAATAAACATGAGTGCAAGTGTCATTTTTATATAATGATTTTTTTTCCCT
The DNA here is from genome assembly GCF_000001405.40 of Homo sapiens. NCBI lineage: Eukaryota > Metazoa > Chordata > Mammalia > Primates > Hominidae > Homo > Homo sapiens. The sequence goes on from NC_000003.12 coordinate 170,943,489, forward strand.
TTGAGTAGATACCCAGTAGTCAGTAGTAGGATTCCTGGGTTGAATGGTGGTTCTACTTTAGTTAGTCAGTAGTAGGATTCCTGGGTTGAATGGTGGTTCTACTTTAGTTATTTGGGGAATCTCCATACTGTTTTCTATAGAGGTTGTACTAATTTACCCTTGAACCAGTAATGTATGTGTTCCCTTTTCTCCACATTCATACCAACATTGTTATTTTTTGACTTTTTAATAATAGTCATTTTGACTTGTGTGAGATAGCATCTCATTGTGGGTCATATTAGTCATGGTTCTCTAGAGGGATAGAACTAACAGGATATATATATATTTATTTATAAATATATATATATCCTGTTATATATCCCATATATATATATATATCCTGTTACATATCCCATATATATATATATCCTGTTATATATCCCATATATATCCCATATATATATCCTGTTATATATCCCATATATATACATGGGAGTTTATGAAGGAGTATTAACTAACACAAGGTCCTAAAATAGGTCATCTGCAAGCTGAGGAGCAAGGAAGCCAGTCTGAGTCTCAAAGCAAAAGAACTTGGAGTCTGATGTTCGAGGGAAGGAAGCATCAGCACGGGAGAAAGATGTAGTCTGGGAGGCTAAGCCAGACTGGTCTTTTCACGTTCTTTTGTCTGCTTCTATTCTGGCTGCACTGGCAGTTGATTAGATTTTGCCCACCCAGATTAAGGGTTGGTCTGCCTTTCCTAGTTCACTGACTCAAATGTTAATCTTCTTTGGCAACACCCTCACAGACACACCCGGGAACAATACTTTGCATCCTTCAATCCAATCAAGTTGACACTCATTATTAACCATTACGTGGGTTTAACTTGCATTTTTCTGCTTAGTGACGTTGAGCATTTTTTCATGTTTCTTCGCCACTTATGCATCTTCCTTTGAGAAATATCTGTTCATGTCCTTTACCCACTTTTTAATGGGATTGTGTTTTTCTTGTTGATATGGTTGAGTTCCTTGACGATTCTCAATATTAGTCCTTTGATACATGCACAGTTTGGAAATATTTTCTCCCACTCTATAGGTTGTCTGTTGACTCTGTTGATTATTGTTTTTACTCTGCAGAAGCTTTTTAATTTAATATAGTCCCATTTGTCTATTTTTGTTTTTGTTGCATTTGCTTTTTGATGTTGTAGTTATAAATTATTTGCCTAGGCCAATGACCTGAGGAGTGTTTACAGGGTTTCTTCTAGGATTTTTATAGTTTAGGGTCTTACATTTAAGTCTTTATTTAATCTTGAGTTAATTTTTAGTGTATGATGAGAAATACAAGTCCAGTTTCATTCTTCTGCATATGGCTTGTCAATTTTTCCAGCATCATTTCTTGAATAGGATGTTTTTTTCCCAACTGTGTGTTTTATCAAAGATCAATTGGTTGTAGGTATGTGGATTTATTTCTGGGCTCTGTATTCTGTTCCATGGATCTATATGGTTTTTATACCAGTACTATGCTGTTTTGCTTACTATAACCTTGTAGTATAATTTGAAGTCAGGTAATGTGATACCTCCAGCTTTGTTCTTTTTGCTTAGGATTGCTTTAGCTATTTATACTTTTTTTGGTTCCATATGAATTTAGGATTTTTTTTTTCTAATGCTGTTAAAAATGACATTGGTAACTTGATAGGAATTGCATTGATTCTATATATTGCTTTGGGCAGTATGGTCATTTTAACAATATTGATTCTTCCAATCCATGAGCATGAGATATTTTTCCATTTGTTTATGTCATTTATAATTTATTTCATCAGTGTTTTGTATTTCTCCTTGTAGAGATCTCTCCCTCCTTGGTTAAATGATTAAATGTATTCCTAGGTCCTCTGTGTATGTGTATGTATGCATTGTAAATGGAATTGAGTTTTTTATTTCATTCTCAGATTGAACGTTTTTGGTACATAGAAATGCTCCTGATTTTTGTATGTTGGTTTTGTGTCCTGAAACTTCTTTTTTTTCAAGTCTAGGAGTCTCTTGGAGGAGTCTTTAGAGTTTTCTAGGTATAAGATCATGTCATCAGTGAATAGAGATAATTTGATTTCTTCTTTTTCAAGTTGGATGCACTTTATTTCTTTCTCTTGCCTAATTGCTCTGGCTAGGACTTCCAGTACTATGTTGAATAGAAGTGGTGGGGATGCACACCCTTTTCTTATTCCAGTTCTTAGGAGGAATGCTTTGAACTCTTCCCCATTCAGTATGATGTTGATGGTGGGTTTGTCCTACATAGCCTTTATTATTTTGAGGTATGTTCCTTCAGTGCCTAGATTGTCGAGGGTTTTAATCATGAAGGAATGTTGGATATTATTGAATACCTTCTTTGCATCTATTGAGATAATCATATAGTTTTTGTTTTTAATTCTGTTTATGTTATGAATCACACTTATTGATTTGTGTATGTTTAAGCAGCCTTGCATCCCTAGAATAAAATCCTTGCATCCCACTTAATCATGATGTATTATATTTTTGATGTGCTGTTGGATTCAGTTTGCTAGTATTCTGTTGAGGATTTTTGCATCTATTATTCATCAGGGATATTGACCTTAGTTTTCTTTTATTGTGTTCTTGCCTGATTTTGGTATGAGGGTGATACTGGCTTCATAAAATGAGTTAGGGAGGAATCCTTCCTTCTTGATTTTTTGGAATAATTTCAGTAAGATTGATACCAGACTTCTTTGTACATCTGGTAAAATTTGGCTGTGAATCCATGTGGTCCTGGGCTTTTTTGTTGGAATAATTTTTATTACAGCATCAATTTGATTACTCATTATTGGTCTGTTCAGGGTTTCTATTTTCTTCTGGTTTAATCTTGGGAAGTTTTATGTTCCAGGGATTTATGCATTTCCTCTAGGTTTTCTAGTTTATACTTTTAGAAATGAGAGAGGTAGGGCCTTTTTCTGGATTAGCCTTTGTCTTAAAGGGAATTTTGTGGGTTGTTTGATCTTCTATCTAGACCACTAAAAATTTCCCCATATCCACAAGGAGGCTGATTTGCTTTCTTACCATTCATGTGTTCACTGGAGTGGCACTTTTAATTTCCTTCAAGAACTTTTCCTTTGCATTCACAACTTGACTACCTGTTTGATGCAGGAGGACTAGCTTTTGACTTGTCTCAGCTTTTGGCATGCCTTCATCACTAAATTTAGTTATTTCTAGCTTTCGAGTTAAAGTGAGATATGTGTGACTTCCTTTCACTTGAAAACTGAGTAGTCATGGTAGGGTTATTAATTGGCCTAATTTAAATACTGTTTTTCAGGAATAGGGAGGGCTAAGGAAAGAGGGAGACAGAGAGAGAGAGAGGAGAGAGGAGGGAGGGAAGAGGGGAGGTGAGGGGGGAGAGAGGGGAGAGGAGAGAGGGAGGGAAACAGAGAGAGAGAGGAGAGAGGAGGGAGGGGAGAGGGGAGGTGAGAGGGGGAGAGAGGAGAGAGGGAGGGAGGAACAGCCAGTTGATGGGGCAGTCAGGTAAACACAGTCGTTATCGATTAAGTTTGCTGTTTTATATGGGGGCAGTTTGTCATGCCTCAAAACAATTACCATAGTAGTGAGAGGTGACAACATGCTAGCAGCCCTCGCTCACTCTTGGCGCCTCCTTGGCCTTGGCGTCTGCTCTGGCCACGCGTGAGGAGCCCTTCAGCCTGCCATTGCACTGTGGGAGCCCCTCTCTGGGCTGGCCCCCTCTGCTTGCAGGGAGGTGTGGTGGGAGAGGCGCAGGCGGGAATCGGGGCTGCGTGCAGCACTCGCAGGCCAGCATGAGTTCCAGGTGGGCGTGGGCTTGGCAGGCCCCACACTTGGAGTGGCCGGCTGGCACTGCCGGCCCCGGGCATTGAGGGGCTTAGCACCCGGGCCGGCAGCAGTGGAGGGGGCACCAGGTCCCCCAGCACTGCCGGCCTGCCCATGCTGTGCTTGAATTCTCGCCAGGCCTCACCTCAGCTGCCTCCCCACGGGGCAGGGCTTGGGACCTCCAGCCTGCCTTGCCCAAGCCCACCTGTGGTGGGCTCCCTTGAGGCCCAAGCCTCCCCGATGGGCACTGCCCCTTGCTCTGCGGAGGCTGGTCCCATCGACTGCCCAAGGGCTGAGGAGTGCAGGCACTTGGGGCAGGACTGGTGGGCAGCTCCACCCACGGCCCTGGTGCGGGATCTACTAGGTGAAGCCAGCTGGGCTACTGTGTCGGGTGGGGACTTGGAGAACTTTTATGTCTAGCTGGAGGATTGTATATGCACCAATCAGCACTCTGTGTCTAGCTTGGGGTTTGTGGATGCACCAATCAGCACTCTGTATCTGGCTAATCTGGTGGGGACTAGGAGAACTTTTATGTCTAGCTAGAGGATTGTAAATACACCAATCAGCACTCTGTGTCTAGCTCAGGGATTGTAAATGCACCAGTCAGCACCCTGTCAAAACAAACCAATCAGCTCTCTAAAACGGACCAATAAGCTCTCTGTAAAATGGGCCAAGCAGCAGGATATGGGTGGGGTCAGATAAGGGAATAAAAGCAGGCTGCCTGAGCCAGCAGGGGCAACCTGCTCGGGTCCCCTTCCACACTGTGGAAACTTTGTTCTTTCCTTCTTTGCAATAACTCTTGCTGCTGCTCACTCTTTGGGTCAGCACTGCCTTTATGAGCTGTAACACTCACTGTGAAGGTCCACAGCTTCACTCCTGAAGCCAGCAAGACCATGAACCCGCCGAGTGGAATGAACAACTCTGGACGGGAGGAACGAACAACGCCAGACGTGCTGCCTTAAGAGCTGTAACACAGCCGGGCACGGTGGCTCGCATGCCTGTAATCCCAGCACTTTGGGAGGCCGAGGCGGGTGGATCACCTGAGGTCGGGAGTTCGAGACCAGCCTGACCAACATGGAGAAACCCCATCCCTACTAAAAATACAAAAAATTAGCAGGGCATGGTGGCGCATGCCTATAATCCCAGCTACTCAGGAGGCTGAGGCAGGAAAATCGCTTGAACCCGGGAGGCGGAGGTTGCAGTAAGCCGAGATTGTGCCATTGCACTCCAGCCTGGCCAACAAGAGTGAAACTCCATCTCAAAAAAAAAAAAAAAAAAAAAAAGCTGTAACACTCACTGTAAAGGTCTGCAACTTCACTCCTGAAGCCAGCGAGACCAGGAACCCACCAGAAGGAAGAAACTCCAAACACGTCCAAACATCAGAAGGAACAAACTCCGGACACACCATCTTTAAGAACTGTAACACTCACTGCGAGGGTCCATGGCTTCATTCTTGAAATCAGTGAGACCAGGAACCCACCAATTCCGGACACAGTAGCATTAAAAATCACTGATCATAGATCACCATAATAGATTGTCTGAGTCTGTTTTCTGTTGCTTATAACAGAATACCTGAAACTGGGTAATTTATAAGGAGAAAGAATTTATTTCTGACACTTATGGAGGCTGAGAAATCCAACATCGAGAAGACTTATCTGGTGAGGGTCTTCTTTCTGGTAGGGACTCTACAGAGTCCCAAGGTGGTACAGAGCATTACATGGCGAGGAGGCTAGGTGTTCTAGCTCAGGTGTTTTTTCCTCTTCCTATAAAGTCTTCAGTTCCAGTATTGTAATAATCAGTGAATCCAGTAACCCATTAATTCATGAATGGATTAATCTACTTATAAGAGCAGAACCCTCATGACCTAATCACCTCTAAAAGGTCCAGCTCTCAATACTGCCACAATGGGGATTATGTTTCAACATGAGTTGTAGAGGTGACAAACATTCAAACTGTAGCACAGATATAATAATAAAAAAATTGGAAATATTGTGAGAATTACCAAAATGTGACATAGAAGCATAAAGTGAGCACATACTGCTGGAAGAATGCCACTGATAGACTTGCTCAACTAAGCGTTGTCACAAACCTTTAATTTGTAAAAGAAAAATCAATATCTGCAAAGCACAATAAAGCAAAGGACAACAAAACCAGGTATGTGTGTGTATTTTAAAAGAACATTGGATTCAATTTGCTGAAACTTTTGTTTATAATTTTTGTGTTTGTGTTCATGAGGGATATTGGTTTATAGCAAGCTTGTTTAATCCATGGCCCACGGGCTGCATGCAGCCCAGAACAGCTTTGAATGAAGCCCAAGGCAAATTTGTAAACTTTCTTAAAACATGAGATTTTTTGCAGTTTTTGTTGTTGTTTTTCACTCATCAGCTATCGTTAGTGTATTTTATGAGTGGCCCAGGGAAGCCAAAAGATTGACACCGCTGGTCTATAGTTTGCTTATAATAGCTTTATCTGGTTTGATGTCAGGGTAATGCTAGCTTCATAGAATGAATTGGGAAGTATTACTTCCTTTTCAATTTTTTGAAAGAGTTTGTGCAGAATAGATATTATTTCTTCCTTAAATGCATGGTAGAATTCACCGGTGAAGTCATTTGAGCCTTGAATTTTCTTTTAGGGAAGGTTTTAAACTATATTATTGATTTTTAAAATAGATAATAAGGGTAATTCAAGTTTTAAACTTCTTCTTGCATGAGTTTTGGTAATTTGCCTTCCAACTAATTTGGAAATTGTTGGATTTATTGGCATAAACTTGTTCATAATCTTTCATATTATTCTATTTTTTAAAACTTTCTTTTTAATAGAGACTTGCATTGGTCAGTTCAAAAATTAAATTAAGTATTATAAACCCTTAATAATAGCATTTTGAGAGGCAAGAGCAGCTCCAGCTTGGAAGAGAACATTTGCAAATCGGAACGGCCACGGCTTAATGCCATCACTGGTGTGTGCGTGCATTCATGCTGGAGGCTGCTACATAAAGGAAAAGAAAGGAACCAACAGAATTCAGGGTATCTAAAGTTTCGTCTAGTGCACTGACTGGAGGTGCTACAGTTTAATACAGCTGAGGTTCAAGGTCCCTCACACATCCTTCATCCAGGAAGGATGCACCACACATTCAAATATAATCCCGTGGTACGCCCTGATGGACTGGCCACAAAATGCACTCAAATACAGTAGAGAATTATGAGATTGTCAGCAAGCAGTGCTCCAGAAATTGTTTTTAAGTCATGTCTAGTTTTAAATCTTTGGAATAAAACTGATTTTTTTAAATATCCTCCAACTAACATACATTTAATTGCCTCTGGCAAATGGACAGATTTGTGTGTGTGTGTGTGTGTGTGTGTGTGAAGGGTGTTTGTGTGTGTGTTAAGAGTGTTTTTTCTTTTTTTGTTGTTTTGTATTTTTTGTTTGTTTGTTTGTTTTTGGTCTAAATAGAAAAAAGGAAAACGAGGAAGAAAATTGTTGAGGCCAGACCTCGAAATGCCCCAAGTGTCCAATTGGCAGCTACAGCATTTGTGAGGAGGTTCCTTTGCCCTCAGACGAGTAGTTTCAACATTTCAGTGAAAACAAAGGCTGCAGAAAGCTGAAAACCCAGATCTTGAAGGTTGCTGTCATATATGTGTTTGTGTTTCTTATATTATTATTTCGTTTTGACTTCAGTTTTGCATCCCAAATATGTATGGGGTGGCATTTTAACAGTCAATGAGTCAAACAGTCAAAGGAGGACAGGAGGGGAGCCAGCTGGTAGGAGGGAGCAGCAACTGTGTGTGGACCAAGCGCCATTTTTATTTTACATGACGTGTCTTGAAGGGATGGTCCCAGAATATATAAAATATACAATCTGTCCTAATAACCACCTTACTTGCTTGCATAGGCCATTTGATGGTCCTAAAGGCAGTCTTTGGAGTTGAGGCCAGTACCAGTTAGCTAGGAATGCGGGTAGATAAGAGACCAGTATTGGATGTGTGTGTGTGGTATGAAACGTAAGGACTGTAGCCTCTTTTGGAGTCAGCTTGCAGAGTAAATGTGGGGCCTCTGTTAATCCTGAGGATTCTAGGTCACAAGTCATGGTAGGCCTAGCAAAAAAAGAAAAAAAAAAAAAAAAGAAAGAAACGTGTCTCTCCTTTTAGAAAGCCCATGAGAGAAACACCTCAACCTTTTTCTTGAATGTCAACCCTTCACTCTCACAATGGCATTTTAAATTGTGTGTTGTAACAAATGGAGGAATAGGAGCTCAGTGGGCATGAGAGAGAAGATAGGATGATGTTTTGTGAAGCCACTAGACTTGGGAGGCATCCTCAGTTTTCCCCACTCCTGGAAAGAGTGATATTTTTGGCTTTTTGTCACATCATAAACCAGAGTTAAATACACAGCTGCCCTCTGAGACTAGCGACATCTATGCTTTAACTGGTGATGGGGTAGCAATGACACCCAGCATAACAGTTGATCGCTGTGAGCTGAGGTCATTATGCCTCAAGGAGGATGAGAGAACTGTGATTGTCTATTTCGAGAGCTGAACATCCAGGTACCGACAGAGTCCTGGAGAGGTTTAGTCCGTGGAGAAAAGATAAAACACTTAAGCTTCAAAATAAGCTTTTCAAGTTTTCATTGGCAAAAATGGAGAGATTAAAAAGAAAAAATCTAGCACTGGCAGTAAGGTGAGGCTCAAGGGATATACTGTGATTTATCATCAAGGACTTTATTCTCTTCACCACTTTGCAGTCATGCTAGAAGTTTCCAGAACCCCTAGGGCATATGGTGTGCAAGAGTCAAAAAGTAAGAGAAGAAAACTCCTCCTTTGAGAGTGAAGTCTACAGAAATGCAGGCCAGAAGGGTGTAAGGTGTTATTCCAGAGTCTGCTGCCGCTAAAGCCTTTGGGATTGACGCGAAAGATCTCAGTAGTACTAAGAAGAACCAAAACCACTCAACAGTTCTGTGAGGGAGTCTGAACCATGGAATAGTAGGACTTTTCACACACAAAGGACAAATAAATCAAGAGTTAATTTTGGCTACCAAACTGCAATTTGGTTTTCTAGGTCATTTTCCCCCAACTATTTAAAAACAAACTTTAGTGCTACACATATACAACTTTAAGATGCTGAATTCTCCTATCAAGTTGCACTGAGAAGCAAGTGAAATAAGCCCCTCAGACTGCCGTTCACCTGCAGAGACGTCACATTCATTTACTTTGATTTCCATTGGCAACAGCGGGAAATAATTCAAATAGTGCTGAAGTAAGCAGCCAGTCTGCCTTGCTGAGTTCACCTGGTTTCCTTCTTCATCATCTTCCATCTAGCTAGGGCAAGGCATAAAGAATAGACATATATGTTTTAAATACAGTTGAGTGCATGACAGTGTGTATGTGTGTGGGTCTGTATGTGAGTGTGTGTATGTGTGTATAGAGGTTTATAGGTGAGAACTTTCTTCTGAGAGGCAGTGGTTCTCCACCTGAAGACCAGCCCCCTGCCTCATGGTATTTCCTTAAGACACTGGCTGATGCCACCGCAACTCTGGCCTTTCTGTTTTTTAGATATGTTTCTTCATAGGGAGGGCAAGATGGTCAGACCTAGAAAAACACCTGTTGCAGTGGTTGCATTTGAAGAGGTTTGCACCTGTGTGTTTCCCGTAGTGCCTCGTGAGCTCATCGCTTCATGCAAAACTCCACTAGCATCCCTCCCATGAGTACCTGTAAGGCTTCTCACCTGTGTGAGTCTCCTGATGGGCCTTTAAGGGGGAGCTTTTTGTATAAACTTCCTGGCACCCGTTAAACTGACAGCAGTGAACCCTCTTCTTGTTTTCAGGACATGCTTCAGCCCCTAGCCCTCCTTGGTCACTGTCGCTCTGTCCACTCTTAACGGCCCTGGCACCATCACAGCTGCTGAAGCTGTTGTGACCCCTCCCACCTTTACGGAGATGAGAGCAGCCTTCTTGGCCACGAGTTTCAACGTCACCGTGCCATCCACGGCAGAGAGAGTTTGTGAGGTTTTGACCAGATGGTGGCTGAGCTCAGGGGACAGTGGGGGCATTAATGAGGTCATTGTGTTGAGCTGGACCTGGTTGACAGCTGTGTAGCTGTCTAGAGAAGAGTTGGCGGCTGGAGGCTGAGGCAGGTCTCAGATAGCAACTTGCCCCGAGAGAGCAAGACTGCTGAGCTCTTCTGACAGATGGCCGCTTCCACGGGGAGCAGCAGGAGGTCTAAGCTACGGAAGCTTTCCTCAATGCACCGGGGAGGAGAAGGGTGGAGCAAACAGGCCAAGTCCTCACCAAAGGTCTCCGAGATCCTTCTGGGCTCCGTCTGTAGGTAGCGTTCCAATTCAAGGCCTGTCTCCTCTGGAATATTCCCTCTTCTCTCAGTCTCTATTCTCCTTAGGGGACCCTTTCTTTTATCCCGTGTTTCCCTCGGGGGTCTCCACTCCCACAAGTAAATATCTTCCAGGATATCCTGGAAGTAAGGCTTCTGGACTTCCTTTTTTCCACTTATTCCTGCTGCCAGGTCTCCAGGGATGGCAAAGCTGAGAAGTAGCCGGTGTCGTGGACAAGTTGTAGCTCCTGGAATATACTACAACTAGCCAACACGTCCCTGCTGCTGCTGCCGAGCAAAACCGGAGGCGAAACCCTCCCCCGAACACAATTGGGGCTGTTTGTTAGTGTCTGGCTGACCCCCAAAGAAGGCAGACATCCAGTGGCCCTTTTGTTTTGTTTCAGTCAAACGAAGCTGCCATCTATTTCTGCAGCGCTGTTCGCTCCTAATGCAATCTTTGCCTTTTGTTTTGGGAGTTTGTATTTCTCTTGCGATCGCTTCTCTCCCCCACTTCCCTTCCCTCCCCTCCTCACCCCCACCCCATCCTTTCTAGTTTGTAGTCTTGCCCTTCCTTTTCTCCCATATTATTCTTTTAATATTTGTAGAATCTGTAGTGATGTCACCTCTTTCATTTCTGATGTTGGTAATTTGTGTCTTTTTTTCTGATCTATCTGCCTACAGGCTTTATTGATTTCAAAGAACTGTTTTTGGTTTCATCAATTTTCTCTACTTTTCTGTTTTTTATTTCTTTAATTTCCACTTTGACTTTTATTATATGATTTTTTCTGCATACTTTGGTTTTATTTGCTCTTTTGCTGCTAGTTTCTTAAGGTAGAAGCTGAAATTCATTTATTTGAAACATTCCTTTATTTTTTCGTATCTGGATTGAGTGCTATAAATTTCCTGTTAAGTATTGGTTTAATGACATCTGATATGTTGTGTTTTCATCTTTAGTTCAAAATACTTTCAAATTTCCATTTTTATTTACTTTTTGGATTCATGAGTTATTTAGTGTTTTAATTAGCTTTCAATGATTTGGGAATTTTCTAAGGGTATTTCCATTACTGATTTTTAAAAATTCCATTGTGGTCAGAGAACATATTTTGTATAACTTGAATCCTTTTTGATATATTAAGATCTATCTCATGTTTCAGAATATGGTCTATCTTGGCAAATGTTTCATAGGATTTTGAGAAAAATATATATTCTGATATTATTGGGCATGGTGTTCTATAAATATCAATCAACTCGAGTTGATTGATAGTATTTTCCTAGTCTACTCTATCCTTGTTGAGTTTTATACTTATTCTATTAGTTATTGAGAAGATATCAAAATCTCCAACCATAATTATGGATTTATCTATTTCTCTTCACATTACTATCAGTTTTGGCTTCATGTATTTTGAAAGTCACTTGTTATAAGGTGCTTAAATATTTATGATTGTTACATATTTCTCATTAATTTACCTTCTTGTCATTATGAAATGTCCTTTTTAATCTTTTTTGCTCTAAACTATATTTTTTTCTGACATTAATATAGCCACTGCCACTTTCTTCTTACTGGTGATAGCACGGTGTGTGTGTGTTTACGTGTGCGTGAGATATAGTTCGGATGTGTGTCCCTGCCCAAATCTAATGTTGTAATATAATCCTGAATGTTGGAGGTGAGCCTGGTGGGAGGTGATTGGATCATGGAGGTGGATTTCTCATGAGTGGTTTAGTATCATCCGTTGGTGCTGAGTTCTGCCAAGGTCTGATCATTTAAAAATGTGTGGCACCTCCCCGTCCTCTCTCTTGTTCCTGAAGTGCCTGTTCCTACTTTACCTTCTGCCATGTGTAAAAGCTCCCTGAGGCTTCCCCAGAAGCAGATGCCACCATGCTTCCTGTACAGCCTGCAGAACAATGAGCCAGTGAAACTTCTCTTCTTATAAGTTACCCAGTCTCAGGTATTTCTTTTTTGTTTTCTTCAACTTTTATTTTAAGTTCAGGGCTACATGTGCAGGATGTGCAGATTTGTTACATAGGTAAACATGTGCCATGGTGGTTTGCTGCACAAATCATCCCATCACCTAGGTATTAAGCCCATCATCCATTAGCTATGCTTCCTGATGCTCTCCCTCACCCCACCACCCTCCTCCAACAGACCCCAGTGTGTGTTGTCCCCCTCCATGTGTCCATGTGTTCTCATCATTCAGCTCCCACTTATAAGTGAGAACACATGGTGTTTGGTTTTCTGTTCCTGCATTAGTTTGCTGAAGATAATGGCTTCCAACTCCATCCATGTCCCTGCAAAGGACATGATGTCGTTCCTTTTTATGACCTCGTGGTATTATGTGGTGTATATGTACCACATTTTCTTTATCCAGTCTATTGTTGATGGATATTTATATTGATTCCATGTCTTTGCTATTGTGAATCATGCTGCAATGAACATATATGAGCATGTGTCCCTATAATAGAATTATTTATGTTTCTTTGGGTATATGCCCAGTAATGGGATTGCTGGATCAAATGGTATTTCTGCCTGTAGGTCTTTGAGGAATGGCCACACTGTCTTCACAACGGTTAAACTAATTTACATTTCTACCAACAGTGTAAAAGCATTTATTTTTCTTGGCAACCTTGCCAGCTTCTGTTGTTTTATGTCTTCTTAATAATAGCCATTCTGACTGGTGTGAGATGGTATCTCATTGTGGTATTGATTTGCATTTTTCTCATGATCAGTGATGTTGAGCTCTTTTTCGTGTTTGTCGGTGGCATGTATGTCTTCCTTTGAGAGGTGTCTGTTCATGTCCTTTGCCCACTTTTTAATCCTTTTTTTTTTTGTAAATTTAAGTTCCTTAATTCTGGATATTAGACCTTTGCCAGATGAATAGATTGCAAAAGTTTTCTCCCATTCTGTAGGTTGTCTGTTCACTCGGATAGTTTCTTTTGCTGTGCAGAAGCTCTTCAGTTTAATTAGATACGATTTGTCAATTTTTGCTTTTGTTGAATTGCTTTTGGCTCAGGTATTTCTGGAGAGCAGTGTGAGAATAGACTAATATAGTGTGTGTAGGTATTTACATTGTTTTACTTTTTACCTTGTGTCTTTTTGTTTAAAGTGTATTTCCTGTAGGCAGCATATAGGTGAACCTTGCTTTTTTATTGTGGTAAAAATACATAACATAAAAAGTACCATTTTAAGTTATACAGTTCTGTATCATTAAGTACATTCACATTGTTGTGCAATCATCATCACCATCCATCTCTAGAACTTTTTTTCTTTCCCAATAGAAATTCTGTACTGATTAAACATTAATTTCCCATTCTCCACTCCCTAAAGCCCCTGGTAACTGTCATTCTATTCTGCTTTTCTGTCTCTATGAATTTGACAAAATTTAAGTTATTCTAGAACCTCATGTAAATGGAATCATATATTTTTACTTTTGCATCTGACTTATTTTACTTAGCATAGTAACCTCATAGCATGTGTCAAAATTTCCTTTCTTTTTAAGGCTGAACAATATTTCTTTGTATGTACCACATTCTGTTTATCTGTCCACACATTAATGGACACTTTAATTGCTTCCACCTTTTGGCTGTTGTTAATAATGCTGGTATGAACATGGATATACAAATATCTGTTCAAGGCCCTGCTTTCATTTCTTTTGGGTATATGCACACAAGTGAAATTGCTAGATCATATCATAATTCTATATTTAATTTTTTGAGGAATTGACATAGTGTTTTCCACAGTCACTGCACCATTTTACATTTCTACCAGCAATGCAGAAGAGTTCGAGTTTTTCCACGTCTTTGCCAATATTTGTTATTTTTCTGTTTTTTTCTTTTTTAAATAATAGCCATCCTGATGGGTGTGAAGTGACATATCATTGTAGTTTTGATTACCATTTCCCTAAAGTGATGGTTTGAATGTTCCCTAAAATTTATGTGTTGCAAACCTAATTGCCACTGTAACAGTATAAAGAGGTGGAGCTTTTAAGAGGTGATGAGGTCATGATGGTTCTGCTCTTATGAATGGATTAATGCCATTATCATGTGAGTTGGATAGTTATCTTTTGTTCCGGACTTTTTTGGATTCATCAAGTATTTAAAAAATTATCCCAATAATCTCCTTTGTTTGCTTATTAGCCATAACTCCTTGTTTATTAATTTAGGGATTGTTTAAGGATTTATACTGTAAATCTTTTACTTTTCAAGGTAAAAGTGTGTTATATGTATATATAATATATAAATACGTGAATCTTATACTAGGATACTTCCCTTCCTGACCTTCTGCTATTTTTTCAAAGATTCTACTTGAATATATGTTATAAACAATACAATAATTGTTATGATTTTCATACCTTTAAAGAGATTTAAATAATAGTTAAAAAAAGAATTGGCCTTATTTACCCATGTAGTTACTATTTCTGTATGCTTCCTTTCCTTATATACATCTAGATTTCTATCTGGTATGATGGTCTCTCCAACTAAAGGACATTATTTAATACAGAACATTTCTTATAGTGCAGGTCTGCTGTGACAGATTCTTTTAGTTTTGTACCTTTGAAAAAAATCTTTATCTTCATTTTCGAAAGATATTTTTGTCAGGTGGTGTGTATTGAGTTGTGTCCCTACAAAAGATGTGTGAATGTCCTAAGCCCTAGCACCTGTGACTGTAGCCTTATTTGGAAATAGGGTCTTTACAGATTTAATCAAATTAAGATGAAGTCATATTGATTACACGTGCTTTAAATCCAATAACTGGTGTCCTTATAAGGAGAGAGAGATTCGGAGACACAAACACTTACTCTCTGTCACACACTCACACACACACAAAGTAGGGAGACAGAAGATGGCTTTGTGAAGATAATAGCAGAGATTAGAGTTATGTGTAATCTGTCTGCATCCACTACAAATCTGGGAAGATAAGAAAAGATTCTTCCTTAGAGCTTCAGAAGGAGCATGGCTCCCTCATCACCTCTATTTCAGACTTGATTTTGGAATCTGGCCTGCAGAACTGTGAGAAAATACATTTCTGTTGTTTTAAACCACCCAGTTTGTGTTACTCTGCTATGGCAGCCCTAGGAAACTGATGCACCAGGTATAGAATTCTGGTTGAGAGTTTTTATATTTCAGTCCTTTATGATGTTGCTTTACCGACTTACCTTGTTTCTAACTAAAAATCTGATGTCTTTCTTATCTTTGTTTCTCTGTGTTAATCATGTTTTTTCCCTTTGCTGCTTTTAGGATTCTCTCTTTATTACCACAATTGTGCAATTTGATTATAATATACCCTGGTATAGTTTTCTTCATGTTCCTTATGCCTAGGGTTCATTGAATTTTCTGAATTTGTGGGTTTATGGTTTTATTACATTTGAAAAGTTTTTTGCCTTTATTTCCTCAGTCATTTTTTCTATAGCCTCCCTGATTTGTGAACTCCAATTGCCCGTACATGAGGCTGCTTGAAGTTGTACTACTCACTAATTTTTTTTCTTTTTAAAATATGTTCTTTTTTCTCCATGTATTTTATTTTGGATAGTTTCTATTGCTATTCCTTCAAATTCACTAAACTTCTTCAATGTCCAATCTGTCATTAATCCCATCCACTGTATATTTTATCTTAGTTATTGTGTTTGATTTGAATCTCTTTTATATTTCTAGGTCTCAACCTTGTGAACATATGTAAAAGCTGTTTTAATGTCTTTCTCTGCTAATTATAACATCTTCGTCAGTCCTGAGTTGATTTCTATTCATTGATTAGTCTTCTCTTTATGTGTTGTGTTTTCCTTCTCCTTTCCATGGCTGGTGATCTTTGGTGAGATGTCAGACATTGTTAACTTTAACTTGTTGAGTGCTGGATATTTTTGTATTCCTATAAATTTTCTTGAGCATTGTTCTCAGATACAATCAAGTTACTTGGAAACAATTTGATTTTTTTAGGTCTTGCTCTTATGATTTTTCAGGTGGGTCCAGAGCAGCACTCAGTCTAGAGCTAAATATTTCCCAGTGCTGAGATAATGCCTTCCTGAGTACTCTACTCAATGCCCCTGATTTATGAGATTCTTACAGCTGGCTGGTGGGAACAGTCACTGTTCCCAGGCCTGTGTGAGTTCTACACATTATGTCCTTTATTCTTTCAGATGGTTCTTTCCCTGGCTTTAGGTAGTTTTCTTAAACACATTTACGTAATTTTTTTTTAAATTTTTACTTTAAGTTCCAGGATACAGATGCAGAATATGCAGGTATGTTACATAGGTAGACATGTGGCCATGGTGATTTGCTGTACACCCTCAATTCCCTTTGGATACTTGGAAAGCTTTCTCAAGGACAGGTGTAAACAGGCCCAGAATGCAAAGATTGGAATAAATACCTAACTCTTCAATACCCAGACACCAGCAAACATCCACAAGCATCAGAAACATCCAGGAAGCATGACCACACCAAATGGACTAAATAAGAGACTAAGGGCAAATCCCAGAGAGACAGAGACATGTAATCTCTCAGAGATTTCAAAATAGGTGTTTTAAAAGACAATGAAATTCAAGATAACACAGAGAAGAAATTTAGAATCCCGTCAGATAAATGTAACAAAAAGATTGAAATAATTGTTAAAAATCATGTAAAAATCCCAAAGCTAAAAAATACAATTGATAAATGGAAGAAAGCTTCAGATTCTCTCAACAGCAAAGTGGATTAAGTGGAAGAAATAATTAGTGACCATGAAGACAGGCTGCTTAAAAATATACAGGCAGAGGAGACAAAAAAGAATAAAATGGAATGAAACATGCCTGCTTGGCCGGGCGCGGTGGCTCATTCCTGTAATCCCAGGACTTTGGGAGGCTGAGGTGGGTGGATCACGAGGTCAGGAGTTCAAGACCAGCCTGGCCAAGATGGTGAAACCCCGTCCCTACTAAAAATACAAAAATTAGCCAGGTGCAGTGGCAGGCACCTATAATCCCAGCTACTTTGGAGGCTGAGGCAGGAGAATTGCTTGAAACCGGGGGGGTGGAGGTTGTAGTAGGCCGAAATCGCCGCATTGCACTCCAGCCTAGGCGACAGAGTAAGATGCCATCTCAAAAAAAAAAAAAAGGAAAAATGCCCACAAGATCTAGAAAATAGCCCCTAAAGGGCAGATCTAAGAGTAATTGGCCTTAAAAAAGAATTAGAGTGAGAGTCCAGGATACAAAGTTTATTTGAAGAGATAATAACAGAACTTTCCAGACCTAGAGAAAGATATCAATATTCAAGTACAAGAAGGTTATAGAATAACAAGCAGATTTAACCCAAATAATATTACCTCAAGACATTTAATAATCAAACTCCCAGAGGTCAATGCTTTCCTTCAACAGATAGTATTTATTGAGCACTTTTTGTATACCAGGCACTGTTCTGGATACTGAGGATGGAGCAGTGGGCAGTGAACAAAACAAACAAAATCCTTCTTCTCATGGAGCTGATACTTCAGTGGGAAGAGACAGGCAAGAAAAAAAAAAAAGGAAGAGGGAAAGCCGCTAAATGCTAAGTGTCAATAAATGTTAAGTAAAATGGGGGCAGAAAAGCAAAGACAGAAAAGCACCCTACCCCAATGGGGGTAGGGTGGATCTTGGATAAGATAGTCAGCAAAGGCCTCCATGGAAGGCCAAAATAAAAAGTGAGAATTGCTCTAGATTAAAAGAGACCCCTGAAACATGTCAACCAAATGCAAAGCGTAAGTCTTGATTACATTCTGGCCTTAAAAATGCAAACTTAAAAACATTTTTTTTGATGAAAACTTGGAAGATTTGAATATAGATTGCATATTAGATGATGGTGTAAAATTATTAATTTTTCAGGTAAGGAGATGGTATTGTCATTATGCAGAGGGTATCCTTTCAGGAAGTTTATGCTGACAGTTTTTGAATTGTTTTAGTGTCTGTAGTTTACTTTCAGATGGTTCAACACATAGAGGAAGAACTAAAGCAAATGTGGCAAAACATAACAATTGGTAAATATGATGAAGGTGTAAGGGTGTTATTACAGTATTCTTTAAAATTTTATGTATGTTTGAAATGTTTTCAAAATAAAAACTTGGCAGAAAAAAAGATGGAATTTAGGGTTGTTGGAGTCGATCTGAGTTTTCATCACCAGGTGGTGCTAAAGCTTTTCAAATGTAGTTAAATTAACAGCAAACAATCTGTGCTGACAGTTGCATATTAATTTAGGAAAAATTTGGGTGGGAGGAACATAGACTATAAATCAAGCTTTTTAAATTTGCCAATTTTACTCTTGCTTGCATTATTATATTTTACACAATTTGAAGAGGTTCAGCTATACGTTTTCTGGCTGTCAGTTTCCTTCTCTTCGACCTTTCTCATTTCCAGGCCCTTATTTTCTTCTCACAAAAGAGCTACTGTGATAATTCCCAACACCAGATGCCACTGTGATCCACACTGCTCACAGAGTAACCTTCGTGCAGCATTTCTGTCCCCTTCATCAGCTCCCTATTCCCCTCCAAATAGTTTCCACTCCTCAGCAAAGAATTTACAGTTTGATACCAATCTTCTTTTCCCAGTGTATCTATTATTGTTGCCTTGCATTAACCCTACTCAGGAGAAACATTGACTGCTGTCCTTTTTTTTTCAAATAAATGTCATACACTTTCTTGCCACTGACTATTCTGCTTTGTGTGTCTCCATACTCCCAATGCCCTTCTGCCTATTGCCAGTTCAAAATCTGACCTTGCCCATCATTGAAGCCTGAATTAAATATCATTTCCCTCATGACAATTTCCCCAAACACCTTACTCAGAAATATTCCTCTTTCTACAGCACTTTTAAATTTTCTTACCAAACTGATAACATTTTGTATTACATAATAATGTGTGTACACTAAATTATAAACACCTCCAAGGTAGGCAGTTTATGTTTATAGTCTTTGGATTGTGTTTAATATGATGTGGAATTTACTAAAGGTCAGTGGAATTGAATTTCAAGATTATTCAGAAGTAGTTTATAGTAGTGGTAAAAGTACTGACTAATTACCACCAACTGCCAGCCTTACTCTGGTTGTTCATTTCACAGATAAGCAATGAGAGGCCACCATAGTGAGAAACCAACCTGGATAAAGGATGTTCATGGCTTAGCAGCCCCACCTACCAAAAAAAAAAGTTATCAATTTGAAGTAAAATTTCCTTTCAATTTGAGTCTGTCAAAACCCTTAAATTCTTGAATGTCATTTGATCTATATATTCTTCTAGGTAAAAACATGAAAAGAATGATCAAAGATTTGCTTTAAGAATATTTCGTATATGTTACAAAATATGTTTGTAAAAGCTAAAAATTAGAAGCAGCCTAACCAACAATACAAAGTTGGTTAAAGACATTCTAATATATCCATACAATGAATTACTATGGAGCTATTAAAAATGGTGCTCGAGAACAATATTTAGTGGCATAGAAAGAGGCCCCCAGTGTTATTATAGGAAAAAAAATACACCATATTGTTGACATAATGCTTTTTAATAGAAGAAAAGATTTGCATAGAGAAAATACTAAAATTGATGGCAGAGATATATTTCTAGATTTGGAGATTGACCGATTTAAATTTTCTCTCTTGCTATCTTTTTTCCCCCTAAGTTTTAACTCTGAGCACCTATATTAAGCAAACAATAAAAATATTTAGGAGAGAAATTATATTCCTAATGTTATTCCATTGTGTACATTCATTAATGAAGGAAGGAATTTCAGGCTCTAACATTGTTACTTGGGCCTAACATAGAACCAGAGGATAAGAAGGCCAAATGATAACCCAAGAGAAGACAGTATCGGAGGTCAGAAAAGGTAAGAAAGCCAGGTAGAAAAAAATGAGGGTTGAAGAGTGGGGTTACCATGCTCAGGAAAGGAGGGAGGCGGGAATACAAGTAGGAGAGCTGTAAGAATCTAGTAGATACCAAGATTGTAATGAAATAGAAAGGTAACTGCATTTAGAAATCTGGGTCCAATATTTAGTATTATTGTTTATTAGATAGGTACTCTTGAGTAAATCATTTATGTTTTCAAGGGTCAGAAAATACCTTGAAGGTATTTTTATTCCCATGTTACAAGTGAGCAAAGTAGCCCTCAGAAAATATAAATGAGGTCATATATATACATAAGCTAGGGTTTCTCAGCTTTAGCTCTATTGGCATTTTGGGCCAGACATTTTATTGTGGGAGCTGAACAAGCACATTTGTATGGGATAATAAGTGATGATGTCAATTTTAATAAAGAGGAAGTTGCCCAGTGAGAAGGAAAGCAGGTGAGAGACATTTTGTAGTTAAAGAAACTAAAATTTTACCAATTTACATAAAATCTCCCTAAATACTCAGTGTACACATCTCACCAAGGAGTGTTTTCCCCTGGTAGGGGACTTTAGAGAACTCCAATACCTATAGTTGGCAGGCATATATGTCCCAGATCTATATAAGTCAAATCAAGCCACTAGCATATGCATCTTATGTAATAGATTTTAAGCTCAATCTTTTTCAGAATGGGGTCTTTTATATCTTTCCTGTCTATGCTGAGATGAATCCCAAGGGGGCCCAGATATGTATATGAGGATGAGTCATTGTCCCTGATATGGATAAGTGAAAAGGGTAGGGAAAAGGGTTTCTGACCCTGATAGAGCTATTTATGGGTAGGGAGGACTCTAATTCTTGAAATCATGATAGAATGTTAAAGTCTCCCGCATTTGGAGTATATGTTGTTTGCATTAATCCCATTTATTTTTAAAAGAAATATTATTACTTACATAGTTCACCCCAACTTTATTTCAAATTGGGACTATTAATTAAAATAGAAATTTAATTTTATGTTAATTTGAGGGTTACTTTTTTGGAAAAAAAAAGCCTTTCTCATACACAACTTAAACACTTGCATGCTTTTAAAGATAAAACAAGAACAACAAAAAAGTAGAATTTATTATGTAATTCTACCACCCAGATAGACCCAGTATGAATATTTTGGTGTATACCCTTTCAGAGTTCTTAAATTGGGGGTTCTGGATCCAGCCTGTACATTAGGTTCACCTGAAGAGCTTTGAAAATAAGACTATGTCTAGTCTCATCCCAGAACAAATAAACCAGAATACCTGGGGGATGGAGCAGTCCTGGGTAATTTTTTTTTTAACTTCACAGGTGATTTTAATGTACAGACAGGGTTGTGAACCACTCTTAAATGAATGACAGATTAGTGCTGAAGCACTAGGCCAAGCACTGGCTGAAGCAGCTAGGCCAAAATAAAAGATGCTGGTGCCTTCAGCTAAGTGGTACTTTGGCTGTAGTTGGCATTGACAATTAGGAAATGAGAGTGGTAGAGAGGCCACTTGGTATGCAGCAACCCTCAGTGGCCTGGCACTGTCCAAGCCATGCCACTGCTGTCTGCGGTAAGCAGTAATCAATAATTTGGGCAGTAGGAGCTATAGATATTTTGCAAACAGCAGACAGTCAACCACACAAGCAGGAACTGCCAGTTACTCTCTCCTTAGTGTAAATGACAAGGCTAGAATTTATCCCCTGAACATCACCATTGAATATACAAATTCAAATGGCCTGTAAGCTTTGTTAAAAGGCTCCCAGGTGAGCTAAGTGGTGGGCATGTGTGGAGGGTGCAGGTTACTTTGCCCCAGCCCCAATATGGCAGGCTTATAGGCTCTGGGGAACTAACTGGACAAGGGTAAGAGAAGCAGTATGGAGGAAGCACATTAGAAGATCAGATTGAAAGAAGCATCAGACACCCAAGAAAGCCTGTCCATCAGCTGTTGCCTGTGGAGAGAGAAGATAGTGGAAGGGAGGCAGGCTGGTTGCTCTCTTAAGGTCTCATGGGCTGCCTTTACCACAGTGGTATCTGCCATCAACTTTGTACAGCTCAGAGGTGGAATCTCTCCAGTCTCTCCAGTGGATAATTAGCTCTTAGGGCAGCTTCACACATTAATGCTACAGCATTTTTCAAAGTAGGAGAGTGCTCATCAGTGACCAGAATAATTTGTGTTCATTACTCAAAGGACTCCATCTTTCTTAGGGAGGGAAACTAGAGATAATGAGTGAATATTTATTAAAATGTCAATGTGTCATGTGCTTTACATTTTAGTGTATGATTTATGGATGAGGAAAAAAAAATCATGGAAAACACACATAAGTTTCCAAAGCTGGTCAGTGTGGTGAGGGCAAGATTCAAACCCTGGTCTCTCTGGCTCCAGAACTGTGTTCTCTATAGCTACTAGCCTTCCCAGGAGATTGAAGAAACATTTGGAAGACTGAGAAAAGGGAAAATCATCCTGACAGAAATGTCAGGAATGCTTGCACTATAGCTGTCCAATAAAGGGATAATAATAGTACCCACATAAAGGTGCTATTGTGATAGAAAATTTATTACGGGTAAAACATTTAAGAGTGCCTGGCACATAGTATATGTTTAATTCATGCAGTGCTCACGTTGGCAGGGAACTTACTGTCCATTGAAATATTTGTTAGAAATTCATTATGCAAGCTGAAATTGGGCTCCTCTAGCTTTTATCTGGAAGGTGTTCCCACCTGAAAAATGGAAGAAATTTTCAGTGAGGCAGATTTTGGGTTGATTTAATGAAGTAGTTTCCAACATTTAGAGCTACTTAAGAGAAACAAACGGCCTCAGGAAGGGCAATTGTTTTTAACAGACTATTTTTAGGGCAGTTTTAGGTTCACACCAAAATTGAGAGAAAGGAGCAGAGAGTTCTCATTTACCTCCCCCTCACACATGCACAGCTTCCCCCATTATCAGCATTTCCCACCAGAATGGTGCATTAGCTACAATCCATGAGCCTATATTGACATATTATTGTTATCCAAAGTCCATAATTTACATTAGGGCTTGCTCTTGATATTGTGCATTCTATAGATTTGGACAAATGTATAAATGACATGTATCTACTCGTATAGTATCATCTAGACTAGTTTTACTGCCCTAAAACTTCTCTATGAGGTGGAGTGATTTTCATAAGTTAAAATAACCACACTTGGCAGAGAGTCCCCTGGATAAAATCCACAACTGCAAATTTCAGAGCTTATCTGTGCCACAAGTGGACTCTGAAATGCATTAGGAAAGCACATGAACAAAGGCACATTAAACTTTGATTTTGTACTACAGTGGCACTGTTATTGACAAACCCAACTTCAAATTACAGATTTGCATCAGAACATGAGCATATTATCTTGCATTGACTTCCACAAAGAAATTAATATTCCCACACCCTCAGATTAAATTTGGCTGTATAATAGATAATTGGGGACCCCCTCCTTTGTTACTCTTGAATCTATCAATATTTATGATAAAATTTAGATTCTGACACTGCAATCAAAACCAGCCTTCTAACAGAGACCCCTCAAAATATTTTTCCTGCAATGAAGAGACATTGAAAAGAAGACAAAAGGAACCATGCTACATTTTTGTTAAGCTTACTTCCAAGGTGTAAGTGGAATAAATATGCTTGTTATTGAGTGAGATTTTTCACCATGGGTTTCCTAGTGTAATAAAATGTTTTTGACATATTTTGGACTAATGAAAAACAACTATGCTTTGGAACAAACTTTAAGTGGGAGTTGATATGTGCTGATCAGTTTTAAATTGATTTACAATTCATGAAGCTCTTGGATAGCAGAAAAGAATGACAGCCGAATGAGACAACTTGCTGAAGGTCACAGGGATAATCAATAGAGGTCAACAGTACATTGAGGCTGGGAATGGAGCCTGGCAGGGGCCCACTGCCACTGTTGCAGTGCCCATTTGGTCACAGGGAGTGACTGACTCTTCATACATGGTATTTTCATATCCTTTGAGATACTATCTGTTTTATCTAACTGAACAGTTTATTCTTAGAGGTTATTATTCAAGTTGGATTATTTCTAAGGTCAGATTACTATAATACCTAGGAACTATAGAAATTTGCAGAGGAAAATTGGAAGTGGCATTGTATAGGCTATCATTATAATATGCTGAGGGGTTTTTGTTTCTTTAAGAAAATGTTTCAGCTCTTCACTTTTAGATAAGTTTACCTTTGTTTTGGTGGAGGGGCAGGGTCTCACTCTGTCACCCAGGCTGGAGTGCAGTGGCATGATCATGACTCACTGCAGCCTTAACCTCCGAGGCTTAAGGAATCCTCTTGCCTCAGCCTCCCAAGTAGCTGGGACCACAGGCACCTGCCACCACATCCAGTGAGTTTACCAGTTTCGAAGGGGCAGTTTCTTTGGCTTATTTAAACTCACAACTGACTTCCTTATCTTCCTCTTAAAGTCACTTCTCTTTTTCCAGTGAAGGCTGGTGCCAGCTATTCAAGCCAGCCAGGCTCTAACCTGAGTCTCAGAGCCATCATTCTCAGAATTGGAAGGGACCTTAAAGGATACTTAGTTCAGCCACCCATTTGGTGCTTGAACCCTTTATCATCATATAGTTTGTGATTCCCCAAGTATTTGAGCACTTACTCAATATCAGGTACTCTGCTCATTCTGCTAAATAATAATTTCTGCCAAATATTGAGCATCTTCTAGAAAGAAAAAAGATTTAGCCATAAAAATGCACAGGTTGGCCTAGTGGAGGAGATAGCTGAGAACATTTTAATATGATGTCGTGGGTGCTTTGTGGAGGTAATGCAGAGGAAGAAACAGGGAAGTGAGGAAGGATGCCAGGCTCAGAGGAGGCTCCAGAGAGGGAGAGTTGGGACCTGCTTTCTAGAGGAGGAAACGGTAGAATTGAATCTTGAAGGATGAATAGGAGTGATCCAAGTGACTGATAGATGTGTGTTCCAGGCAAGGAAACTGCAAGGGAAAAATCCCAGAGGGACCACGGGTATCTCTCTACATTGTGGTTTTCTCTTCTGTAACAGCATTTACTTTATAGGAATGTTGTGTGGAATAAGTAAGAAAATATTTATGTTTATAATGGACAGAGCAAATCCTTACCAAATTATTATTATTATATTATTATACTGCTAACATATATCAGTGCAAAGATATGCAAAATAACCTTATAGCAACCAGATAGGCCCCTCGAGCCTGCAATTTTTGCCTCATAAATAGACTAATATATTTGTAGAAAGACTGTCCAACCTGAAACTATCTTAGAACCTAATGCTACTAGATACTTAAGTTATAACAACTCCTCTTGCTTGCTGATATTCCACGTTTACCAAGAACCATGTAGATTTGTCTTCTCTTGGGACCAGGTCGGGTCAACATGAGTCTCTACTTGCTTCACAACTTTATTTCCTTATTGTCAAATAATTTCCCACTCCGATATTAAGACCAGTCTCTTATCAATCTTTTAATAACACTCATATAGCATGAACTATGTGCCAGACACTGATCTTAACGCTATTCAAATATTAACTTATTTCATTCTCATAGCAATCATAGAAGGTAGCTGCTGCTGTTATCATCACCATTTTTCAAATGCGAAAACTGAGACACAGGGAGGTGAAGTAACTTGCAGCTAGTAAAGGGTAGAGCCCGGGTT
This sequence comes from Homo sapiens, assembly GCF_000001405.40. NCBI lineage: Eukaryota > Metazoa > Chordata > Mammalia > Primates > Hominidae > Homo > Homo sapiens. The sequence continues at coordinate 170,969,105 of NC_000003.12, forward strand.
CAAACAGAGGTAGTTTGACTCCAGAGTTTCTGTTCTTTTTTTTTTTTTTTAATTATACTTTAAGTTCTGGTGTGCATGTACAGAACGTGCAGTTTTGTTACATAGGTATACACATGCCATGGGGGTTTACTGCACCCATCAACCCATCATCTACATTAGGTATTTCTCCTAATGTTATCCCTTCCCTAGCCCCTGACCCCCTGACAGGCTCTGGTGTGTGATGTTCCTCCACCATATCCAAGTGTTCTCATTGTTCAACTCCCACTTATGAGTAAGAACATGCAGTGTTGGTGGTTTTCTGTTCTCGTGATAGTTTACTGAGAATGATGGTTTCCAGCTTCATCCATGTCCCTGCAAAGGACTTGAACTCATCCTTTTTTTTTCTTTTTTTTTTTTTTTTTTGAGATGGAGTCTCGCTCTGTCGCCCAGGTTGGAGTGCAGTGGCGCGATCTCGGCTCACTGCAAGCTCCGCCTCCCAGGTTCACGCCATTCTCCTGCCCCAGCCTCCCGAGTAGCTGGGACTACAGGCGCCCGCCACCACACCCGGCTAATTTTTTTGTATTTTTAGTAGAGACGGGGTTTCACCATGTAAGCCAGGATGGTCTCGATCTCCTGACCTCGTGGTCCGCCTGCCTCGGCCTCCCAAAGTGCTGGGATTACAGGTGTGAGCCACCGCGCCCAGCCGAACTCATCCTTTTTTATGGCTGCATAGTATTCCAAGGTGTATATGTGCCAGATTTTCTTTATCTAGTCTATCATTGATGGACATTTGGGTTGGTTCCAAGTCTTTTGCTATTGTGAATAGTGCCACAATAAACATACCTGTGCACATGTCTTTATAATAGAATGATTTAAAATCCTTTGGGTATATATCCAGTAATGGGATCTCTGGGTCAAATGGTATTTCTAGTTCTAGATCCTTGAGGAATCACCACACTGTCTTCCACAATGGTTGAACAAATTTACACTCCCACCAACTGTGTAAAAGCGTTCCTATTTCTCCACATCCTCTCCTGCATCTGTTGTTTCCTGACTTTTTAATGATCGCCATTCTAACTGGTGTGAGATGGTATCTCATTATGGTTTTAATTTGCATTTCTCTGATGACCAGTGATGATGAGCATTTTTTCATGTGTCTGTTGGCTACATAAATGTCTTCTTTTGAGAAGTGTCTGTTCATATCCTTTGCCTACTTTTTGATGGGGTTGCTTGTTTTTTTCTTGTAAATGTGTTTAAGTTCCTGGTAGATTCTGGATATTAGCCCTTTGTCAGATGGATAGATTACAAAAATTTTCTCCCATTCTGTATCACTCTGATGATAGTTTCTTTTGCCGTGCAGAAGCTCTTTAGTTTAATTATATCCCATTTATCAATTTTGTCTTTTGTTGCCATTGCTTTTGGTGTTTTAGACATGAAGTCTTTGCCCATGCCTATGTCCTGAATGGTATTGCCCAGGTTTTCTTCTAGGATTTTAATGGTCCTAGGTCTTATGTTTAAGTCTTTGATTCATCTTGAGTTGATTTTTGTATAAGGTGTAAGGAAGGGGTCCAGTTTCAGTTTTCTGCATATGGCTAGCCAGTTTTCCCAACATCATTTATTAAATAGTGAATCTTTTCCCCATTACTTGTTTGTGCCAGGTTTGTCAAAGATCACATGGTTGTAGATGTGTGGTGTTATTTCTGAGGTCTCTGTTCTGTTCCATTGGTCTGTATGTCTGTTTTGGTACCAGTACCATGCTGTTTTGGTTACTGTAGCCATGTAGTATAGTTTGAAGTCAGGTAGCGTGATGCCTCCAGCTTTGTTCTTCTTGCCCAGGATTGTCTTGGCTATGCGGGCTCTTTTTTGGTTCCATTTGAAGTTTAAAGTGGTTTTTTTCTAATTCTGTGAAGAAAGTCAGTGGTAGCTTGATGGGATAGCATTGAATCTATAAATTACTTTGGGCAGTATGGCCATTTTCATGATATTGATTCTTCCTATTCATGAGCATGGAAAGTTTTTCCATTTGTTTGTATTCTCTCTTATTTCCTTGAGCAGTGGTTTGTAGTTCTTGAAGAGGTCCTTCGCATCCCTTGTAAGTTGGATTCCTAGGTATTTTATTCTCTTTGTAGCATTTGTGAATGGGAGTTCACTCATGATTTGGCTCTCTGTTATTGGTGTATAGGAATGCTTGTGATTTTTGCACATTGATTTTGTATCCTGAGACTTTGCTGAAGTTGCTTATCAGCTTAAGGAGATTTTGGGCTGAGACAATGGGATTTTCTAAATATACAATCATGTCATCTGCAAACAGAGACAGTTTGACTTCCTGTCTTCCTATTTGAATACCCTTTGTTTCTTTCTCTTGCCTGATTGCCCTGGCCAGAACGTCCAATACTATGTTGAATAGGAGTGGTGGAAGAGGGCATCCTTGTCTTGTGCCGGTTTTCAAAGGGGATGCTTCCAGTTTTTGCCCATTCAGTATGATATTCGCTGTGGGTTTATCATAAATCGCTTTTATTATTTTGAGATATGTTCCATTGATAGCTAGTTTATTGAGAGTTTTAGCATGAAGCTGTGTTGAATTTTGTCAAAGACCTTTTCTGCATCTATTGAGGTAATCATGTGGTTTTTGTCATTGGTTCTGTTTATGTGATGGATTACGTTTATTGATTTGTGTATGTTGAACCAGCCTTGCATCACAGAGATGAAGCTGACTTGATAGTGGTGGATAAGCTTTTTGATGTGCTGCTGGATTTGGTTTGCCAGTATTTTACTGAGGATTTTTGCATCAATGTTCATCAGGGATATTGGCCTGAAATTTACTTTTTTTTGTTGTGTCTCTACCAGGTTTTGGTACATGGATGATGCTGGCCTAGTAAAATGAGTTATGGAGTAGTCTCTTTTTCTGTTGTTTGGAATAGTTTCAGAAGGAATGGTACCAGCTCCTCTTTGTACCTCTGGTAGAATTCAGCTGTGAATCAGTCTGGTCCTGGACTTTTTTTGGTTGGTAGACTATTAGTTACTGCCTCAATTTCAGAACTTGTTACTGTTTTTTTCAGGGATTCGACTTCCTCCTCGTTAAGACTTGGGAGGTTGTATGTGTCCAGGAATTTATCCATTTCTTCTAGATTTTCTAGTTTATTTGCATAGAGATATTTATAGTATTCTCTGATGGTAGTTTGTATTTCTGTGGGATCAGTGGTGATATCTACTTTATCATTTTTTATTGCATCTGTTTGATTCTTCTCTCTTTTCTTTATTAGTCTGGCTAGCAGTCTGTCTATTTTGTTGATCTGTTCAAAAAACCAGCTCCTGGAATCATTGATTTTTTTGAAGGGTTTGTTGTGTCTCTATCTCCTTCAGTTCTGCTCTGATCTTAGTTATTTCTTGTCTTCTGCTAGTTTTTGAATTTGTTTGCTGTTGCTTCTCTAGTTCTTTTAATTTTGATGTTAGGGTGTCAATTTTAGATCTTTCCTGCTCTCTCTTGTGGGCACTTAGTGCCATGAGTAGATTGTTCAGTTTCCAAGTAGTTGTGCGGTTTTGAGTGAGTTTCTTAATCCCGAGTTCTGATTTGATTGCATTGTGTCTGAGAGACTGTTATGATTTCCATTCTTTTGCATTTGCTGAGGAGTGCTTTATTTCCAACTATGTGGTCAATTTTGGAATACGTGCGATGAGATGCTGAGAAGAATATATATTCTGTTGATTTGGGGTGGACAGTTCTGTAGATGTCTGTTAGGTCTGCTTGGTCCAGAGCTGAGTTCAAGTTCTGAGTATCCTTGTTAATTTTCTGTCTCGTTGATCTTTCTAATATTGACAATGGGGTGTTAAAGTCTCCCACTATTATTGTGTGGGAGTCTAAGTCTCTTTGTAGGTCTCTAAGAACTTGCTTTATGAATCTGGGTGCTCCTGTATTGGGTGCATATATGTTTAGGATAGTTAGCCCTTCTTGCTGCATTGATCCCTTTACCATTATGTAATGCCCTTGTTTGTCTCTTTTGATCTTTGTTGGTTTAAAGTCTGTTTTGTCAGAGATTAGGATTGCAACTCCTGCTTTTATTTGCTTTCCATTTGCTTGGTAAATATTCCTCCATCCTTTTATTTTGAGCCTATGTGTGTCTTTGCACATGAGATGGGCTCTCCTGAATACAGCACACCAATGGGTCTTGACTCTTTATCCAATTTGCCAGTCTATGTCTTTTAATTGGGGCATTTAGCCCATTTACATTTAAGGTTAATATTGTTATGTGTGAATTAGATCCTGTCATTATGATGCTAGGTGGTTGTTTTGCCTATTAGTTGATGCAGTTTCTTCATAGTGTCGATGTTCTTTACAATTTGGTATGTTTTTGCTGGTTCTGTTTGTTCTTTCCATGTTTAGTGCTTCCTTTAGGAGCTCTTGTAAGGCAGGCCTGGTGGTGACAAAATCTCTCAGAATTTGCTTGTCTGTAAAGGCTTTTCTCCTTTGCTTATGAAACTTAGTTTGGCTGGATATGAAATTCTGGATTGAAAATTCTTTTCTTTAAAAATGTTGAATATTGGCCCCCACTCTCTTCTGGTTTGTAGGGTTTCTGGGGAGAAATCTGCTGTTAGTCTGATGGGCCTCTCTTTGTGGGTAACCCAACCTTTCTCTCTGGCTGCCCTTAACATTTTTTCCTTCATTTCAACCTTGGTGAATCTGACGATTATGTGTCTTGGGGTTGCTCTTCTCGAGGAGTATCTTTGTAGTGTTCTCTGTATTTCCTGAATTTGAAGGTTGGACCGTCTTGCTAGGTTGGGGAACTTCTCATGGGTAATCTCCTGAAGAGTGTTTTCCAACTTGGTTTCATTCTCGTCACTTTCAGGGACACCACTCAAATGTAGAATTGGTTTTTTCACATAGTCCCATATTTCTTGGAGGCTTTTGTTTGTTCCTTTTTGTTCTTTTTTGTCTAATCTCGTCTTCTCTCTTTATTTCATTAAGTTGATCTTCAATCACTGATATCCTTTCTTCTGCTTGACCAATTCGGCTGTTGAAACTTGTGTATACTTTACGAAGTTCTCGTGCTGTGTTTTTCAGCTCCATCAGGTCATTTATGTTCTTCTCTACACAGGTTATTCTAGTTAGCAATTCGTCTAACCTTTTTTCAAGGTTCTTAGCTTCCTTGCTTTGGGTTAGAACATGCTCCTTTAGCTCAGAAGAGTTCGTTATTACTTCTGAAACCTACTTCTGTCAATTCATCAAACTTATTCTCTGCCCAGTTTTGTTCCCTTGCTGGCGAGGCGTTGTGATCCTTTGGAGGAGAAGAGGTGTTCTGGTTTTTGGAATTTTTAGCCTTCTGGTTTCTCCTCATCTTTGTGGATTTATCTACCTTCGGTCTTTGATGTTGGTGACTTTCGGATGGAGTCTTTGAGTGGACGTGCTATTCCTTTCTGTTTGTTAGTTTTCCTTCTGACAGTCAGGCCCCTCTGCTGCAGGTCGGCTGGAATTTGCTGGAGGTCCACTCCTGACCCTGTTTGCCTGGGTATCACCAGCGGAGGCTGCAGAACAGCAAAGATTTCTGCCTGATCTTTCCTCTGGAAGCTTCATCCCAGAGGGGCACCTGCCAGAGCTCTCCTGTGTGAGGTGTCTGTCGGCCCCTACCGGGAGGTATCTCCCAGTCAGGAGGCACAGGGGTCAGGGACCCACTTAAGGAGGCAGTCTGACCCTTAGCAGAGCTGGAACACTGTGCTGCGAGGTCCTGTGCTCTCTTCAGAGCTGTCAGGCAGGAACGTTTAAGTCTGCTGAAGCTTCGCCCACAGTCGCCCCTTTCCCCAAGTGCTCTGTCCCAGAGAGATGGAGGTTTTATCTGTAAGTCCCTGATGGGGGCTGCTGCCTTTTTTTTTTTTTTTTTTTAAAGATGCCCTGCCCAGAGAGGAGGAATCTAGAGAGGCAGTCTGGTCGCAGTGGCCTTGCTGAGCTGCAGTGGGCTCCGCCCAGTTCGAACTTCCAGGTGGCTTTGCTTACACTGTGAGCGTAAAACCGCCTACTCAAGCCTCAGCAATGGTAGATGCCCCTCCTCACACCAAACTTGGATATCCTGGGTCGATCTCAGACTGCTGCTGTGCTGGCAGTGAGAATTTCAAGCCAGTGGATCTTAGTTTGCTGGGCTCCGTGGGCGTGGGTCCCGTTGAGCCAGACCAGTTGGCTCCCTGGCTTCAGCACCCCTTCCTAGGGGAGTGGACGCTTCTGTCTCCTTGGCATTCCAGGCGCCACTAGGGTATGGAAAAAAAGAACTCTTGAAGCTAGTTTGGTGTCTGCCCAAATGGCCACTCAGTTTTGTGCTTGAAACCCAGGGTCTTGGTGGGGAGATTCACCAGAGGGAATCTCCTGGTCTGCAGGTTGTGAAGACTGTGGGACAAGCACAGTATCTGTGCTGGAGTTCCTCAGGCTTAGACCCTCACAGCTTCCCTTGGGTGGGGGAGAAAATTCCCCACCCCTTGCACTTCCCGGTGAGGCGATGCCCCACCCTGCTTTGACTCGCCCTCTGTGAGCTAACCTACTGTCCAACCAGTCCTAATGAGATGAACGGGGTACCTCGGTTGGAAATGCAGAAATCACTCGCCTTCTGCATCGATCTCGCTGAGTACCTGCAGACCGGAGCTGTTCCTATTCGGCCATGTTGCCAGCAATCCAGGAGTTTCTGTTCTTTATCGCCACATATGCTGCATCCCTGAAGTAGGCAGCTCTGGGACCTACAAGAATGACTTCTGAGCCCACAAGGCTGAGGTCAGACCCTGGTAAATGTGGCAAGATTACACCACTTTGCTGGGCTTGTCTGGTTGCCTTTGGGAGCTGGTCTTCTGAAGTGCTTGAATATCAGCTTTGCTTGGAGTTTAGACCTTCCAGTTCATTGTCAATAGAATAAAGAAAGTCATGGGTCATCTCTTGCTTTGAAGATATCCAGTGCAGTGGCCTTCACTGAGGCTTTTAGCTTACACTGCATTGGGTCCAAGTTTTGCCCTAATCTAAACAGGAAGGGAGGGCCCTTAGGTCTGAAAAAAAAAATTTCTGAGGCCTACGGCAGAACAGTTCTTCTGCCATATTCGGAACAAGGATTTACGTTTCTTGTTTAAAAGTGGTTTTTCCATTCCTATGGAGAATAGTATAGTTTGAGTTTATCTCTAATGAAAACAGAGGTGGCCAGTAGCCCACCATTACAGGCACCGTGAGAGAGTCATACATAGAAGCCAAATTCTAGGAGGGTATGCATTGCTCATTGCTGAATAAATTTGACCACAAATCCTGTGAGGCATCCTGGCCTTGCTGAACTAGGCTGAACTGTGTGAGAACCAGGACTCCTTTTGCCTTTCTAGCATAACGCCAAATCCGAAAACAGATTTTCGTTGCCCTTCCCTTATTGCTCACACTCCATACTTGACCACTGAGGTCTTACCACACTGGTGACAAAAAGAAGCAAGGACAGGTGAGTTGCTAAACCCTGGAGGAGTTTTGGCTTTTCTCCACCTTCCAGTCCTCTTTAGGGTTGGGGAGCCCTTCCTAAGGCAGAGCTCAGACCTATCCTCAACATCATCCTGGAAGAGAACAAAGCTAAGGGAGATGAGAACCAAGAAAAGCTGGAAAGAGAGAAATTAACCCAAAGAGTCCTTCTTGCTGAAGCAAGGGCTTTTACCCTCTTCTGACCAAAAGCTGCAACTCCCAACAACACACTCTTGGAGTGTTCTCTATCAGTGCCCCTTGAGGGGTGGATGAGATTGTGTTGAGTGGGGGTGGAGATGGGAGAGAGTAGAGAGAGGGATGGTGTTTGAGCTCCCCTGAAAGTTGGCTTGTGCCACAAACACCTTGTAAAGAGCAAATAAAGTCATGGCTTCATCTTAGCTGCTCTTGAAATTCATAGATGAGGCAGGATACAGGGTATTGTGGAAGTGAAGAGCATGGACTTGGGCTTCCACAACTAGTAAATGGTAAAGTAGGATTCAGACTACCTCAGTTTGAATCCTGCTTTACCATTTACTAGTTGAGTGGCCTTGCACAATTCACTTGACCTCTCTGTGCCTCAGTTTCCTCATTAAAATATGGTGGTACTAATAGTAGAGTTTAGAATTGTAAAAATGTTGGGGAGGAGTGTGTTTGACAGTGGCACAGGTTATACGACTCAACAAATCCACAGTTATAGTTGGAGATTTCAACACTTCTGTCTTAGTGATTGATGGGACAAGTAGATAGAAAAATCAGTGTGGATATAGGAGATCTGAGCAACCTTATCAACCAAATTGACTTGATTCACATTCATAGAACACGCTACCCCACAACTTAGACAACACAATTAGACTGTCCACCAGATGATTCAGTGCCAAAGTTACTGGAAGGTTATTATTTGTTTTTGGTCTGTAATTGCTAAGTTGATACAAAATGAAATTTTATAACAATTGTAGAACCAATAGGACAGTGATTCTTGTTTCACTGTGTATATAGCTTATCTTGAGTTTTTTTCCTTTTCATAGTTCTGTATTTACAGCATTCAGATACTTTCTCCCTTTGGGAAGTGCAAATGAAGGACATCTACCTTGTTCGTCCTTCTTGTACTACTTCCCCAGGAATGTGAGGTGGGCAAGGGATGATGACAGAGATGGGAAAGTGAATTTGAGGATGGGCACTGACTTTCAAAAAATATTTTCATATATGTTTTTATTTGATAGCAATAATTATGCAGGGGAAGGGGGTAGGTCTTTGGCCATGTTGTCATGGTATTACTTGCTCCTCATCTGCTTGTCTTTCACTGAAGTGCTCTGTTCTCAGAAACCATCACCTGTTTCTTATTCTAGGAAAGTGGTGGCAGGTGATGTAATAGTTAATTGGGTAAGACATCCAAGATTATTTTTCCTACATACAAAATAGGCTTTTTAGGACCTATTAAGAATAATAGGGCAAACAAGATCCTATACACAGGAAAATAAAAATTATATAAAAAGAACTATTCATGAGAAGAGTGTAAGATAATGCAAGCACATGAAGAAATCTACACTGGGGTGGATGAATCATTACCCTGACTTCCCCTGGGATTTTGCTTGCTGATGCCCTCCTGCTGAGATAGATGTGCTTTTGCAAAGCAGAATTGGAGGTGAGTAAATAAGAAGGGGGTTATTCACTTTTATCATCACAGTACCCCACATGTCGGTTCAAGGAAATTCTAATGAAAGTGCTGTGAGTTTGTGGAATTAGAACCCAAATTACTCTT